>NW_025791806.1:0-172609 GCF_000001405.40 Homo sapiens
TAGTAGTGACAGGGTTTCACCATGTTGGTCAGGCTGGTCTTGAACTCCTGACCTCAAGCAATCCACCCGCCTCAGCCTCCCAAGGTACTGGGATTACAGGCGTGAGCCACTGTGCCCTGCCCATTGCCCCATTTTATAGATAGGCAAGTTCTGTGCTCTTTGGGCTCCTCTACTGCCCCTCTAGCTCTAAAACTGTGATTCCATGTGGGGAAGTCAAAACCCAGGCTTAAGCCCGGGCACAGTGGCTCACACCTGTAATCCCAGCACTTTGGGAGGCAGAGGCGGGTGGATCACCTGAGGTCAGGAGTTCGAGACTAGCCTGGCCAATATGGTGAAACCCCATCTCTACTAAAAATACAAAAATTAGCTGGGCGTGATGGCGGGCACCTGTAATTCCAGCTACTCGGGAGGCTGAGGCAGGAGAATCGCTTGAGCCCAGGAGGCGGAGGCTGCAGTGAGCTGAGATGGCACCACTGCACTCCAGCCTGGGCAACAAAGCAAGACTCCGTCTCAAAACAAACAAACAAACAAGCAAACAAACAAAAACCCAGGCTTAAGCTTTATGCCCGTCACCACGTGACCTTGGTAGGCTCCTCTCACCCTGGCCTCCAGCTTCCCCGTAAGGATAACGAAGTCAGCCCCATCGTCTGGGGGGTGCAGCTTCTCAGAGGCCAACCCTGGGGCGCTTTGCTTTGTTGGAAGTTGAGTTTGATTACAGCTCTAATCATTTGTCCCCCAAAGTCAACTTTCTTTTATTGCTTACACTGCAGAATCATCCAGTCTCAATTAAAAAAAGAGATCCCACATAGTCCAGTGGTTAAAAAAAAAACCAAATTTTTTTAATAGGAAAATAGACCCTCAGAGGAAATTGGTCACTGGGTTTAACTGGGAGGGATTGTCTCGTGCCTGTGAATGGGTTAATGTATCAGGGTGGGCATGAGGACAAATTATAAAACCAAAGGAAAATGCCGAAAGGCCATGTGAGTGACAGCAAGAATGAAGGCTATTGCATCCGAGGCCTGAAGTATAGACCCAGGTCCCACTTTAGCATAACCACGGCTGCTATTAAGACCCTCAAACGCACCATCAGTGGTTCTGAATTTTGCATAATGATTGAACTCTGCCGTATCATCAGAGGGGAGGAGAACGGCGTGGAAACCAAAGGGCTGAAATCTCAGCCCCTGCCAAGCCTTCTGGGGCTCCATCACACTCCCAGAATAGCGCGGCTAGGTTCCCGGCAGCCTCGGGCTGCGCCGCAGCTGGGCTTCCGGAGAGCGAGACGAGTCAAGCCTCAAGCACTGCCGGGGACAGCTGGGACTGGACACCACCCAGAAGCCAGCTGGCTGGCCCTGCCCTGCCCTGCTGGAGGCACCATCTCTGGTGAGTGGGGGCATGTCTGACTCCCCTGCGGCTCTCCCACCATTACCTGGGGCCCCAGCTGAGTCAGGGGTGGCCTCAAATCCCAGGCAAGAGGGTGGCATCAGTGAGTGGGTCTCCTGAAGTCTTTGGTGGCAGTGGCTGGAGAAGGTGTTAAAGGGCTGAATGGCCCTGCAGGTAGGGGAGGCTGCAGTGTGTGCCAGGCGGATGTGACTTTAGGAGGCCAGTGGCCACCAGCAGAATAGGGATGGGAAATGAAGATGGGCGGGCAGGGAGACACAGCCCTGCCACAGGCCAGGCAATTGCCCCGTGCAGTGCGGTCTTGAAGCTGGCGTCTGAAGGTGAAGGGATTGTTGGAAGAAGGGAGGGTGGCCAAGCCCGTTTCCAGCTTGACAACAGTTATGTGTTTTCCAGTATCCTCCTTCATTCATTTATTCCCTTACAAGTATTAATTGAGGCAGGGCCCCAGGGGAAACACAAAGATGGGTCAGGCACACATCTTCCCTTCCCAAGAGCTTATACCTTGGCTGGGGACATAAAGCATGACAGAAATAACCATCGATAAGGCAGAAAATGTCAGGGCTATATAAGAGATAAGAGAAGTGTACTGGGGAGCACGGTACAGTGAGGTGCAAGTCCAGCAGGCTAAAGGAAGATAGTTCTAATCTACAGCTAGCCACTGAGTCTCTATGAACCTCAGTCTTTAAATATATAAGATGGAGACAATAACATCTGCCTTATGGAGGCTTATAGGGTTGTAAGCATCAAATATATATAAAAGGTGCTTGAAATTGTACAGCAATATACAGAGGTAAGCTATTATGGGTATCGTATTATCCAACTAGCCAGCATCTCTCTGAACTTCTCCGCCTGGAATTCTGGGAGCCACAGGGAGCCCAGGATCTGAGTACTGGGTTCTTGTCAGCAGCAAAGCAAAGTCTAGACCCTGAGGCCTCCTTTCCCCTTATAGAAGGCTGACAGCCTCTCTCAGCTCTTGGCCAATCAATCCAATTGATCCACAGATATGTAGTGCCCATTTTTTGGATGTATAAAGCACTGTGCTAGGGACCATGGGCGTGGAGAGGCATGAAATCCAGAGTCCATTCCCTACAGACCTATCATGAGCCAGGGAGGCAAGATCTCTGTTTATAAGATACACCTGGCCGGGCACGGTGGCTCATGCCTATAATCCCAGCACTTTGGGAGGCCAACATGGGCGGATCAGCAGAGGTGAGGAGTTTGAGACGAGCCTGGCCAACATAGTGAAACCCTGTCTCTACTAAAAATACAAAAAAAAAAAAACTAGCTGGGTGTGGTGGTGGGCGCCTGTAATCCCAGTTACTTGGGAGGCTGAGGCAGGAGAATCGCTTGAACCCAGGAGGCAGAGGTTGCAGTGAGCCAAGATTGCACCACTGTGCTCCAGCCTGGGCAACAGAGTAAGAATCCGTCTCAAAAAAAAACGAAAAAGATACATCTAAGGCAGAGCCATGTAAGAGTAGCAAATGCATGCCAGAGGTGGGATCCCAGGAGAGCAGAGGGAGGAAGAGGACTACAGGGTGGGGGGTACCAGCAAAAGCCTCTGGGAGGAGCCAAGGGCTTTAAAGGGGGATGGAATCAAGAGGTCGAGAGGAGGAGAGAGGCATCCTGGATTGAGAATACGGGACATGTGAGCGAACTCACAGGAAGGCAAGTGCGGGGGCGAGGCAGACTCAGAGCAGGCTTCTCAGGCTGGAGTGACCATTTCCTGTGGGGGAACAGGAAGGAGAAGAGGCTGGAGTCAAGGCTAGGTACAGGTTGCAGAGGCCTTGAATGCCAGGCAAGGGAGCCTGGACTTTCACATAAAGGCACCAGGAGCCAGTGAAGGTGTTAGGAATGAAAGGTGTTGGGGTGAAGTCAGTGAAGGTCCTGCCCCGGATGGGGGTTTGCAGGGTGACTGGAGAAGACTGCCACCAGGGGCCATCACTCTGGGGGCTGGTGTAGCCACTGCAGCAAGGTAGAAGGAATGCTCCCCCCGAAATGCTCACAGATTGGGGTGAGACGCTTCCTGAAGGTAGGGGAACAAATTGCAGTGAGGGCTACACGTTTCCATTTTGATTTTGATAGAGGCAGGCTGACTGAGTGGCCTGGATCCCTGGACCCTTGGCCTTGATGTCTGGTTCTCAGGATTTGCGCAGTCTGTGGATGGAGGCTGACCAGATCAGAGCAGCTCAGGGGACCCCGTTCTCTCCTTCCACAGGGAGTTGGTTAGCGGCCACTGAGCCCTGGGCAGGGAGGGGGATGAGGGAGGAGCAGATTTTGCAGCCATGGGGGAGGGTTCAGCATCAGGTGACATTCCAGTGGACTCTGCCCAAGGCCTGCTTCCGGGTACACTTCCAGAGCGATCACCCATGGGCAGCCAGTTGTGGTGAATGAGGGTTTCACTCGCCTGCTCCCTGGCCCTGGCTTCCTCCTTCTTAAGGGGCCACGATGGGACCCGAGTCCTTTCAAAAAACTAGGCAGTTCCCGCTGCTCCAAGCAGAAAGTCCTATGAGCCTAAGAGAAAAAGAGATTTGGCCAGACACTGCAGCCAGGGCAGGAACCAGTTAATATGAGCCTGGGAGCAAGGAGAGGTGAAATGCTGTTTACCAGCAGCCGGCTGTGGGTTGCAGGGCACCCAGCCACCTAGCACAGGATTCCAGGCCCCAACTTGTCAGGAAGCAGGAGCCCCACCCTCAGCTCAGTGAGGGACTATTCCTCCCCATCTGGGGCCTGGCTGCAAGACCTAGGGCTCTCCACTCCCCAGGTAGAGGGAGCAGGCCTTCTACTCTGTGGAGGAGGAAATGGCTCCTGTTGGAGATTCTGCAGGGTGAGACTGCAATCCAGAACTCCTGCTGCCCAGGCAAACTGGGAAGTCCCTCTAAACAACACAACTGACCTCTGGCTCTCCCTGGGTAGGCCTCTCCATGCCCAAAGCCGGGGTGCCAGGGCCTCCTGCCCTCATCTCTGATGCAGGGCATTGCAGCCCCATGGCAGGTGACTTCTCCAGTAGGCACTGGGGCTTGCCTGCTTCTCAGAAAGTGGGGTACGGGAGGCAGGGCAGGGGTGGTGCTGTTTGCAAGGCTGCTGGTGTGAGGGGGAAGATCGGCCGTGGCCAGCCACAGAATAACGGATATTCCACAAGCATTTACTGAAAACATTTACCCACACCCGTCTGAGTGCCAGATGCCAGGGAAAACAAGATGAGTGAGACATGTCCCTGGCTCTCTAGAAGGGCACAGTGTAATTGGAGAAAAAACAATTTAGAAGGCTAATTATGATACACTAGGATAAATGATAAATAAATGAATGTGTAACAGGCTGTGGGTAAATAGGGCAACTCACAATGGGTCTTTCGTGGGAAGGTGAGGATCGCTTCACAGAGGAAGGAACATTGGAGCTGAGCTTTGGGGCAGGGCAGATTTTTTAAAACTTTTTGGTCACAAAGAAAAAGGATGGTAAGAGGCATAAAATGTTCGAGGTGGAAGGAACATCACACAGAGCATGGCATGGCAAAGCTATTCCAATCATGGTGAAACAGAACTGAAAGAATGCCAGCTTCTGCAAGAGTTTGGGTTAAAAACCATTAGGCCAAGCACGGTGGCTCATGCCTGTAATCCCAGCACTTTGGGAGGACAAGGAGGGAGGATTGCTTGAGCCTAGGAGTTCCAGACCAGCCTGGGCAACATAGTGAGACCCCATCTCTACAAAAAAATGCAAAAATTAGCCATGCATGATGATGCACTCCTATAGTCCCAGCTACTCGAGAGGCTGAGGCAGGAGGGTTGCTTGAGCCTGGGAAGTTGAGGCTGCACTGAGCCGAGATCGCAGCACCGCACTCCAGCTGGGGTGACAGAGTGAGATCCTGTTTCAAAAATAATTGATTAATTTAAATTTAAATTATAAATAAAAACTGTCAGACCTGTCAAGGCTTAGAGGGAATGACAATCATGCCAGGAAAGGGGAGGCTGATCGCTGGCTCCCTGTAAGCACCAGGCTTGTGTGAGGAACATTCCAGACACAGCTTCATTCTGGGGGTGATGTTATCATCCAGTTTTACAGTTGAGGAAAGCAGGGCTCAGAGAGATGAAGCAACTCATCCAAGTCACACAGCCGGCAGGTGGCACAGGTGTTCCCACCTTTGGGCCTTGTCAAGACCTCAGACATCTCTGAAGGAGGCTTTCCAACGAACAAAGGGTTTCTCACTCTGCCAGTAGGAATCCAACTCAGGTGGGGGTGGAGGTAGTTGGGTGGTGGACACAGACATGCTTCTCCGCAATCCAGAATCTTTTTTTTTCCTTTTTATTTCATATATTAAAAAAAATAAAATAAATAGGCTGAGCGCAGTGGTTCATACCTGGAATCCCAGCACTTTGGGAGGCCGAGGCGGAAAGATCGCTGGAGCTCAAGAGTTCAAGACCAGCCAGAGCAACACAGTGAGACCCCATATCTATTTTCTTTTTCGTTTGTTTCAATAGAGATGAAGTCTATGTTGCCCAGGCTGGTCTCCAACTCCTGGGCTCATGCGATCCTCCCACCTAGGACTCCCAAAATGCTGGGATTATAGGCGTGAGTCACTGTGCTGGGCCTCAAGATCTCTTTGAACAGTAGCACTCTTTGAACACTTCTCAGAGTGTAGTTTTTTGGTGAAAACAGAGTTTGCAATGGGTTCTACGCCTACTGGGGTATTAAATCAAAGTGAAGGACATTTGGGGGCACAGAGGACCCTGTGGCTGGAGTCTCGGAAAGCAGCGCCACCTCCCACAGAACTTCCCTTCCAGCATCACAGGCTCGCTGGGTCCAGCAGCCCCCACCAGGGTCTGACTCATGGTGGAGGGGTCTCATGCCTTCTCCAACTCTTGCCTCCCCACTCTGGACCAGCACAGGCCCCCGGGACTAGAGCAGAGACCAACAGGGACCCTGAAGGCTGAAGCCCATGTCATCGGCCCCAAAGGACTTGCTTTGTCCTTTAAAGGCAAATCCTGCCCAGGAAGTGAGACGGAGTGAACACAAAAAGAGCAAACAGCTCTCAGGAAACCTCCCTACATATCCGCCGCCATCTACCATGCAGGGCTGGCAGTGGGCAGGGCTCCGCTGCTCCGTCCAGGCCTCAGATGCCCCAGCCTTTCCCCCGCCTGGGTCGGGAGGGAGTGGTAAAGAGTTGCCTTTTTGGAGAATCTAGGTAGGGAAAAGAGATTCCCAAAGCTTGAAAATAAATTGAAACAGATCTGCCAGATCCACAATTCATCTTTGGCTTCTTAAGGTCACAAGCAGTCTCGGGGACTATTTCCATTCCACCTTCCTCTAGCTCTTAGCTGGCTTTTCACATATGCTAATGAGCGGCCCCTCCCAGCACACTGTGTTCAGCACCAGTTGCCTGCTTCACGAGAACTAGTCCCAGCCCACAGTCACGGATGCCCCTCGCCTAGGTCTGACCCGCCGTTTGCCTTTCTAGCGTTGGCACTCAACTGCTTGGACCCTACAAGCGTTTGCCTCCCTGGCATGGGGGCCTCTGAATCTTAGGGTGGGAGGTGGAGCTACGGAAGGGAGCCCAGGAGTGAGCAACAGATCAGCAGCAGCACTGCGCCCCTCTTCTTAATATTGAAGAGACTTGAAACAATTCAGTCTTCGCCACCCCAGACCAGCCCGTGAGGGCAAGGCCAGGAAGGGATACAGGGTTCTAGAGAACCAGGGCCTCACCGCCAGCTCCGGCCGCTAAGCAAACATTCCCTCCAGGAGTCCGAGAAGCCGGTGTGCGAGGGGAGGAACCAGCCTGAGGTTTATCGCTCCAGCAACTCCGGGTGATTCATAGAGTTTAGACTCCCGGTTGTCGTAGACCGCGGCAGGCACGCAAACAAGCAGCCCGGGAGATACCCTCCCCTTTCCCAGCCCCCGCTCCTCCACCTTGCTACCCCCTAGCCCGTGACCAGCTGCCTCCCCTCCCCCTCGCGGGCGCTCAGGGTTGAGCAAACACTCCGGGCCGCCCGCCCCGCCACCAGCTGGCTCCGACCGGCGCACCGCTGGCGATCCCCCAGGCAATTCGGCGTCATGAGAACCGGCACCCCGAGACTCGGCGCCCTGCCCTCCCTCCGCGTCTCCAGGGCCCTGGCCAGGCCCAACAACCTCTCCCTCCTCTGTGCGCCTCAGCCCCTACGGGCCTCTGGCGCGGGCTAACTAGGCCTCGCTGCGGGCCCCCAGGACTGCGCACCCCACCCCCCGCGAGGCCAGCAGCCCCGGGGGAAGGCGGCCGGAAAATCTCTTGTTTATCGGGCTGGATAAGTACCAGCCTGGATTCGCTTCCCAATTTCTGCGGTCCAGCTTCAGCAGATTCCTGGGGCCGGAGGGGAAAGGGTGGCAACCCACAGATCCACCCCGGAACAGGGAGTGGGGGGTGGGGCTGGTGGGAACCTGACCTCCTGGAAAGGACGGACTCGGAGTCAGAGCCAACGTGTCCCGGAGCGCAGAGGCCCAGGGGGTCGCGCTAAACACTGTACCTCGGGGAACAAAACCGTGAAGGCTAATTAGGACAAGTCGGAGCAGGGAACGGGGACGCCGGGAGGGGAGAGCGCGCTCCGAGTTGGGCAGAACCTGGAACGGTCACAGGAAACCCGGGCGCGGGGTAGTCGGGCCGAGGGGGACCTTTGCCCACGGTCCAGAGTGGTCTGGACTCGGCCCACGCGTGAGAGGAGCGCTTGGTGACGATCCCACGTACGCTTGGTGACTGGTGGAGGTCCCAGAGAAGGACCGTGCGTGCAAAAGGCGAACCTCGGTGTGCGGTGTGTCCACGTGTGCAAGCTGGGGAGGGGAGGGGGCGCAGAAGGCGTGACAAAGACGGACTCTGTCTTGAGTGTGCGCCTCGCTCCGGCCCGCTCCCAGCGAACTGTGCCTGAAGTGTGTCTCACGGGAGGGCCAGGACGAAGGTGACAAAGGCTAGGTGTCCCCCACGGAGACGCGCCAAGGTAGCCCCGCGCGTGTCCGTAGGCGCGCTCTCTGGAAGACGCGGTGGGGGGTGCGCAGGGCTGCACCCTCACACCAATTGCCCCGGCGAAGGCCGAGCCCAGAAAGTGAGTGCGCGTGAGTGTGCGCGCGCCCGCATGCGGGGGCGTGGCAGTCAACAGCAACAACCCACACGCCGGCAGGGCCAGAAACTCCCATCTCCCTCACCAGCCGGAAAGTACGAGTCGGCTCAGCCTGGAGGTGAGTCGGGGCGGGGAGGGCCGGGCAGGCTTTGTTCCTGTGTAAACGGAGCGCACGTACCTGGAGCGCGGCGGGCGCCCGATTAGCGCCCTGAATGGAGGTGATGTAACGGTGATGCAGGCTCCAGCCCACCCTCGCCGAAAGCAAGGAGCCCTGCCTGGGGACAGGCCCGCGCGAGAGCGAGCAACCCAGCGCGCCTGGCTCAGCCTCGGTCCCAGGGAGAGGCAGGCCCTGCGTCCCGGCCCGGGCCCCGCCATCCCAGCCAGGACCGGGCCTGGCCCAGCGCCCCGCGCCGCGTCCCTCCCACCCCCGCCCGCCCCCCGCCTGGGGCTGGAGTTGGCCCCAAACGCTGCGCTGGAGCGGGGCCGGCGGCGAGTCCCAGGTAAGGGCTGCTGCCTTCCCGCTCCGCCGCCCGGAAGAGTCGGGTCGGGACGGCGGGGAGTGGGCGAGGGCAGAGGCGGGGGGACTGGACATCCTGCGGGCTGGGGACGCCGCGCCAACTCCGCTCGGTCGCTGAAAGTTTTCAAACCCGAGCCGGCTGGGGACTGGGGGGGTGGGGGAGCCCGGCGCTGCGGCTCGGGCTGGAGGGAGGGGAAACCACTCCATAATCGGGGTCTCCAAGAGGAGCCCCTCCACCGCCTGCCTCTCGGTGGGAGTCCGCGGTCACTCTCTCTCGTGGGTGGCGTCCTCTCTGCCGCCTGCTACTGTGGATGTGGAGGGCAGGTTTCTGTGGCCCTAAAAATGGGAGAGAGTGACTGGTTCCCTTGCTCCCCATTCCAGCCACCCAGGGAGCGCAGGTGTAGACCCCAGTACCGTCGACCCAAGTAGGGACGAGAGGGTTCAGAATCCCCCTGAGGGAAGTTTGGAAATTCAGACTATCAAAGCGCCTCCCCTTCTGGTAGCCTGGCCCCTAGATCCCGAACCCCCACTCCCGGCTGGCTTTTCCAGCGTCCTTTGCACCTCCATCCCCAGGCCCGCAGTGTTACACGCTGGAAGACCCAATCACTTACAAACTCCACGATCAAGATCCTAAAGCCCGGGAGAGGAGACTGTTGGAAGTAGGGTTTTGTGCTCCTGGAGCTTCCTCTCCCCGCCGGCCCCCCACCCCTGTGCCTTCAACTGGACTGGGGGAGGGAGTGCATTGGGGGGTGGGGCGCATTCCAGAGTGACATTCCAGAGCAGACCCTTGAAGATTTCCAAGTCTCAGAGAGCTCAGGGCATTTTGGCCCAAATGCCTGGTCTTGGTGCGGGGCAGGGGCAGGGGGATAGGGGTGGGGTGTCTAGGCTGAGGTTCGAGGAACCCCAACCCACCCCCCACCAACCTACACACTGAGGCCGCTCCTTCCAGGCACAGGCGTCTCCTGTGCGCCTTCTTATCGATGGGGTAAACGCCTGAGCGCCCTGCACAGAGGGGTGAGACAGTGGGACCTAACCAGGGACTGGGAGAGACCGATAGGAGTGGAGGCAGGAAGGCTGTCAGTCGGGCCATCGTCTTTCCCTATAGGCTCTTGAGTGTGTGGGATGGGAGGAAGGCAAGTGCTCTGTGGTATCCCTGGGGGAACCTCCCTGAAGAGTGCCCTGGTCACAGCACCCTTGAAGACAGCCATTGGCCATGGGTCAGTGTTGAGTTTGGTTGGCCCTGTGACGCGCTGGAGCTCTCTTTCCAGTGCGGTATCCTTGGCCCTGGTGGGTGGAGGGGGTCTCAGGCTTGTGTGTGGATGATGCTGGAGCGAGGAAGGGAGTTTTGCTCTGGAGAAGTGAGAAGGCCTGGCTGTCTCCCCGGTTGCTGGATGAAGCCACTTGTTGCTGGGGGAAACCAGTCAGGGCTGCTTGGGCCTCTGGGCCTCTGAGCCTCTGAGCCCACCAGGCCTCTGCGCCCCCTGGAGAGAGAAGGAGGGAGGAGGGAGGTTCAGCAACTGGACTGCACTGACTCACAGGAGAGCTGGGGGCAGGGTGGCTGAGCCTGGGGAAAGGCCGATTTCGGAGGCGATTAAAAATATTTGTACAACTGATTCCAGGGAAGTGAAGCAAAAGGCCCTTTTGTCCAGAAAATAATCTGAGGCTGGAGCTGGGCTTCAGCTGTGGGGTGGGGGAGACTCAGGGCGGAAGGAGGTTCCCCTCCTACCCCCCTCCTTGAACCCTCTGAGAATCTTTAAGCAGAAGATGCAACTCCAACATGGAGGGGACAACCCTGGGTGTGGAGAAATGCACCTGGGACCATCCAGAGGTGACTTCCAAATGCCCACTGTGTTCAGGCACAGCACCAGCTGTGGCAGTGGATTCTAGAAGTCTTGTTCACCAGCTTCAAAGACCTTACAGCCCTGGAGGGGAGACACGGACATGATTTGAACGTTCAGGGATCAGAAGGCTCAGTCTTAGTGCAGGGTCTGGGGACCCACAGGAGGCAGAAGTTTCCTCCAGGGTCCTGAGGAAAAGCCTCTGACCAGAGCTGAGTCCATCTTGTCAGTCCCTTAGCCACCATCTTAAAAGGTGGCATTGGGCCGGGAACGGTGGCTCACACTTGTAATCCCAGCACTTTGAGAGGCTGAGGTAGGTGGATCACCTTAGGTCAGGAGTTTGAGACCAGCCTGGCCAACATAGTGAAACCCTGTCTCTACTAAAAATACAAAAATTAGTTGGGCATGGTGGTGGGCACCTGTAATCCCAGCTACTCGGGAGGCTGAGGCAGGAGAATTGCTTGAACCTGGGAGTTGGAGGTTGCAGTGAGCCGAGATCATGCCATTGCACTCCAGTCTGGGCAACAAGAGTGAAGCTTCGTCTCAAGAAAAAAAAAAAGGCTGGGCGCAGTGGCTCACGCCTGTAATCCCAGCACTTTGGGAGGCCGAAGCGGGCGGATCACGAGGTCAGGAGATTGAGACCATCCTAGCTAACACGGTGAAACCCCGTCTCTACTAAAAATAGAAAAAATTAGCCGGGCGTGGTGGCGGGCGCCTGTAGTCCCAGCTACTCGGGAGGCTGAGGCAGGAGAATGGCATGAACCTGGGAGGCGGAGCTTGCAGTGAGCCGAGATCACGCCACTGCGCTCCAGCCTGGGCGACAGAGCGAGACTCCGTCTCAAAAAAAGAAAAAAAAAAGGCATTGGCTGAATGTGCACTCCCGGCATCAGAGGGCTGGAGCTGTGCTCTTCTGAGCTTCTCTTTAACTCTCTGAGGGTCCCTGTCCTAGGCAGTGGATGAGAGCCACGCCCAGAAAGCCCAGGTTTCCCACCTGAGTCCATGTATTTCTGTCTTCCCACCTGCCCTTCCATTTCTGGGGGAACCAGAGAAATAAGATATTTCAGGATGGGACCAGGTTGTTTCCTCTGAGGCTGTTAAGTTACTCAGCAACTTACTAAAAGCAGCAGCCTGGCTGCTGGGCAGCAGCATGGTACCTGGATGCGGTGAGGGGCAGGTACAGGCTCCTCTCTCATTCCTTGAAAGTTTCTATATTGAGGGGGTTGGCAGGAGAAGCAAGACTTGAAGGGTCAGGTGCAGAAGGAAGTTGCTGGTCACCAACCACAAAATCAGGGGGAAACTGGAGGTGGGGGCTTAGGGACAGAGAGCTGTGAAGCTTTCCTGACCCTAGCCCAAGTGCCTGTGGGCTTCTTGGAGCCAGCAGGGTACAGGCAAGTATTTCTAGGGCAAGATGGATCAAGAAGAATGAGTGACATTGGTCCCTGGCTTGGTTTTCTGTAATGACATGCCTGTTAGATTTGAACTTGTAGTATGGGCTTTAGTATCCTTTTCCCCCACCTCCGCCATCCAACCAGTCCTTCGATTGTTTTTTGGAAAGGATCTTTCAGAGCTGGCCATTATGGCTTTACCTTTGGCCTTGACCTTTAAACTGGAATGAATGTGCCCCCCAACAAATCGATTGCCTGTGCATTTTTGCCAGACTCTTTTCCTAAAAGCGCAACCCTGGCTATGCCCCCATGATGCTAAAAGCAGCCTTCAGTGGCTGCCTGTTGCCTTTAGGATAATGCCCCCAGCCCCACCCCTGTAGCATTTCCAATGTGTCAGCCAGCAGCTGCAGCCTCCCTTTGCAGACTCAGCTGATACTTGGCAAACTGAATTCTTTTTTAACTTGCTCTGGACTTGGGCTCAAAGGGCTTTGATTCACACCATCTTTTCTGCCTTGCACGTCCCTCTCCTTGTTCCCTTCACCTGCTCAGTCCTTCCTCACATTCTTCAGGGCTTAGCTTTTGGGTGTCCCTGTCTCTTGGCAGTGTCTGGGACCTGGTATGTTTTTTTATTAGATTCTGAGTAAAACTCTGCGGAACAGTCTTTCTCTACTCTGCCTGTTTCTCTTCTGTGTTCCTGTAGCCCCTGTCTCTCTCCTGCAGGTAAATTCCGTTGTGTGGCCCTTAATCATATTCTTCCTTGTGTAATTTTTGTGAGTACCTACCTTATCTCTCTTGATAGATTTTAAATGCCATCAAGTCAGGGACTACGTTTGTTCATGTTTGTATTTTCCACAGCTCTGGGAACAACAGGGCCTTTCCTTCCCAGGCGCACAGTCAATATTTGCTGATTTGGAGTAATTGCCTGTTCTAAACTGGGCCCTGGCCGAGGGAGGTGGGGTGAAAAGCCCTTGAAAGTGCAGGTGTCCGGAGTCTAAGTGGCAGTTCTGAGGGTTCTCTTCCCTACGTCCAGCTTCAAGCCCAAGTTCTGGCTGGTTTGGCTGTGGAGCCCAAGATGAAGTTGAACATTTAGGATCCCACAGCTTGTTGTTATCCATAAATTATCTCCCAGGAGTGGGTCCATATTACGCCTTCCCTTTTTTGTTGTTGTTGTTGTTGTCGTTGTTGTTTTTGGTTTTTGAGATGGAGTCTCGCTCCGTCACCCAGGCTGGAGTGCAGTGGCGCAATCTCGGCTCACTGCAATCTTCTGCCTCCCAGGTTCAAGGGATTCTTCTGCCTCAGCCTCCTGAGTAGCTGGGATTACAGGCGCACGCCACCACACCTGGCTAATTTTTGTATTTTTAGTAGAGACGTGGTTTCAGCATGTTGGTCAGGCTGGTCTGGAACTCCTGACCTCGTGATCTGCCCGCCAAAAGTGCTGGGATTACAGCATGAGCCACCGCACCCAGCCTACTCCTTACCTCTTAGCCCTCTCTTACTCCTCTTTCCAGCACTTGTAAATAAAATGCAGTTGGTGCTTTATTGATTTACAAAGTCCCCTACAGAAGCTTATTTAAGTCCTGCATTAGAAGTAAAGAGAAACTAGCCATTAGAACGCCAGTTATTTAGGAAAACAACAGTACATTTACATGAGATAGTTAATTTTAAGAGTTAATCTTAAGCAAGCTTAATTGAAAGATGAGGTAGCTGAGATGGCTAAGACGACCTAAATATTTTCAAGTGGCATGGAGACTATTTGAAGGGACTTTGAAAATGGATCCTCTTTATTGTGTCCATTTCACTTAATTTTATGAGTTGCATTGCCCCTGATTTAGTAAGTGTTCTTTCACATAACAATTATGGACAGAATTTTTTTTTTTTTTTGCTTCTGTGTTGAAAAGAGGGACAATTTCTATCAACTGTGGGATTTAGGGCTTTTGTTTGCCTATTAGAAATTAAGTAGCCAGGAATGGTAGAAAACAGTAAGGAGGTAAACCATGTATAAACAACCTCACAATCCCCCTAAAAAAGGAAAAAGGGTGGCAGCCTCACAGAAGAGAGTTAGATAATGCCATTCCCCTGCCAGCCACTAGTGGTCACTGTCAGACCAGGAAAGCTTGGTTGCTGTTTTCCCAGAGAGTTCCTGATGAAGCTGGGTTACAACTAGTTATTTGAACACGTGGGGTGACTTAAATGTGGACTACCTGCATTCATAGAATTTTGAAACGTATAACCTGTTTCTTTAAGCATTTAAATTTTCTTTTTCTTTTCTTTTCTTTTCTTTCTTTTTTTTGGAAACAGTCTCGCTCTGTTGCCCAGGCTGCAGTGCAGTGGTGCAATCGCAGCTCACTGCAGCCTCGATCCCCTGGGCTCAGATGATCCTCTAACCTCAGCCTCCCAAGTAGCTCAGACTACAGGTGCATGCCACCACACTCTCTGCTAATTCATATATATATATATATATATATATATATATATATATATATATATATTTGTTGTTGTTGTTGTTGTTTGTTTTCATACAGAGTCTCACTCTATTGATCAGGTTGGAGTGCAGTGGCGCAGTCTTGGCTCACTGCAACTTCCACCTCCCGGGCTCAAGCAATTCTCCTGCCTCAGCCTCCTGAATAGCTGGTATTATAGGCGTGCACCTCCACGCCCGGCTAATTTTTGTATTTTTAGTAGAGACGGGGTTTCACCATTTTGGCCGGGCTGGTCTCGAACTCCTGACCTCAAGTGATCCACCAGTCTTGGCCTCCCAAAGTGCTGGGATTACAGGCGTGAGCCACTGCACCCAGCTGCTAATTTTTGTGTTTTTTATAGAGACGGGGTTTCACCATGTTGCCCAGGCTGGTCTCAAACTCCTGGACTCTAGCAATCTGTTCACCTTGACCTCCCAAAGTGCTGGGATTATAGGCATGAACCACCGTGCCCAGCAGCATTTAAATTTTCAGTGTTAGGTTTCCTCCAAGTACATTTAAAACTTTTGATTGGAAAAAAACTCATTGATTTGGTCTTTAATATTTCTTAACCTGTTAAATCCATTACCTCCACTTCACGTGGGAAAATCCAATTGGTATTGGGAGCAGGAGTTTGGTTTTCTTCTCTGGCACAGATCTGTGGCATTTGGTAGAGCGGCAGTCAGTAGATGGAGTGAAAATTACCTTGCTGGTGTTAATAAAAGCTAATTTTCTTGCCTTCTAGCTACAACGTCTTAAAGTCTTCTATTAAAGATTAATTCCTTTGGGTTTTGCATTGCCCTTGCCTGGTTCTTACTTTTAAAATGTTAATGCTCCGAAGGAAAATTTTTGCATTAAGTCATTAACTCCTTAGCTGGGGACTTCGTTTATTTCACCCTTGACTTCCGCTTCCGAGCTAGGCAAAAAATGGAGGATTCTGAACTGGAGACTTGGCACTAAAAGTGGGAAAATGACTGTCTCTTCATTTTTCCTGGCTGTTGGTTATGCCTGCTGCAGCTGCTTGTTAAGTCTATTGAATGAATGAATGAACACATAGCTGACTGGCTGTGGATTTAGGCCTCACAGGAATGGAGTTTAGGGGCATAGCAGCTGACCTCCTGAAGCCTGAAAGTCCCAGGGCAGAGAGGAGGTACTGGGTGGGTGGTATGCTTGGTCTTGACTTGTTCACAAGCCCCTTCATCCTCCACCGTGGCCGCCAGAGCTCAGGGAATATCTGAACCCAGGTTATGTTTGGTGGAAGGGAGGGAACTGAAAATTCAATGACAGGTTTTTCTTTTGCCATGGCTAGGAATAGGGCTGACAAATGGGCTTCATCTCATTTGCCTCTGTGGCCAGTTGAAATGCCTCTCAGGGGTTCTATGTTAAGAAGGATTCTGAGGTCCAGAGAGCCTCACGGTCAGCAGCTAGCACTATCTGCCTGGGTTTAGGTTGGGGGAAGCAGCACCATGTATATTGGAGTCTGATCTTGGAGGACTAATTTTGTCCCTTTTCCTTCTGTCTCTAGGGACCCAACCAGAGCCTGGCCTGGGAGCCAGGATGGCCATCCACAAAGCCTTGGTGATGTGCCTGGGACTGCCTCTCTTCCTGTTCCCAGGGGCCTGGGCCCAGGGCCATGTCCCACCCGGCTGCAGCCAAGGCCTCAACCCCCTGTACTACAACCTGTGTGACCGCTCTGGGGCGTGGGGCATCGTCCTGGAGGCCGTGGCTGGGGCGGGCATTGTCACCACGTTTGTGCTCACCATCATCCTGGTGGCCAGCCTCCCCTTTGTGCAGGACACCAAGAAACGGAGCCTGCTGGGGACCCAGGTATTCTTCCTTCTGGGGACCCTGGGCCTCTTCTGCCTCGTGTTTGCCTGTGTGGTGAAGCCCGACTTCTCCACCTGTGCCTCTCGGCGCTTCCTCTTTGGGGTTCTGTTCGCCATCTGCTTCTCTTGTCTGGCGGCTCACGTCTTTGCCCTCAACTTCCTGGCCCGGAAGAACCACGGGCCCCGGGGCTGGGTGATCTTCACTGTGGCTCTGCTGCTGACCCTGGTAGAGGTCATCATCAATACAGAGTGGCTGATCATCACCCTGGTTCGGGGCAGTGGCGAGGGCGGCCCTCAGGGCAACAGCAGCGCAGGCTGGGCCGTGGCCTCCCCCTGTGCCATCGCCAACATGGACTTTGTCATGGCACTCATCTACGTCATGCTGCTGCTGCTGGGTGCCTTCCTGGGGGCCTGGCCCGCCCTGTGTGGCCGCTACAAGCGCTGGCGTAAGCATGGGGTCTTTGTGCTCCTCACCACAGCCACCTCCGTTGCCATATGGGTGGTGTGGATCGTCATGTATACTTACGGCAACAAGCAGCACAACAGTCCCACCTGGGATGACCCCACGCTGGCCATCGCCCTCGCCGCCAATGCCTGGGCCTTCGTCCTCTTCTACGTCATCCCCGAGGTCTCCCAGGTGACCAAGTCCAGCCCAGAGCAAAGCTACCAGGGGGACATGTACCCCACCCGGGGCGTGGGCTATGAGACCATCCTGAAAGAGCAGAAGGGTCAGAGCATGTTCGTGGAGAACAAGGCCTTTTCCATGGATGAGCCGGTTGCAGGTGGGTCTCTGTGGATGCCCCCAGTGGCCCCTTTCTCCATCCCATGTCTTTTACTGCAGGACAGGGAGCCAGTCTCTTGAGCAAAATGGAAAGTTTTTGAGGTTTTCTGTAGTTTTCTGCCTAAGTGTCTCTAAATTCCATTTAATTTAAAGATTTTTTTTTTTCAGTTGGGCATGGTAGATCATGCCTGTAATCCTAGCACTTTGGGAGGCCAAGGCGGGTGGATCACTTGAGACGAGGAGTTCGAGACCAGCCTGATCCACATGGTGAAACCCCGTCTCTACTAGAAATCCAAAAAAATTAGCTGGGTGTGCTGGCTCATGCCTGTGATCTCAGCTACTCGGGAGGCTGAGGCGGGAGAATCACTTGAACCTGGGAGGCGGAGGTTGCAGTGAGCCAAAATCGAGCCACTACACTCCAGCCTGGGTGACAGAGCAAGACTCCATCTCAAAATAAATAAATAAATAAGATTTTTTTTCTATATTCATATAATTCATGCATACATTCTCACTGTAAAATTTCAAACATTACAGATAAAATGAAATTTTCCCCAGCTGCCTCCCCAGTCCTACCCGTCCCATCCTGTTCCATCCCCAGAAGTGACCACTATTGACTGATATAATATCTATGTGCCTTTGTTTCTCCATTTGTAAAATGGGGATAATGTCAGTACCTATTTCATAGGGTTCTTGTGAGGATTGAATTAATTAGTGCCGGCTGGGCGCCATGGCTCACACCTGTAATCCCAGCACTTTGGGAGGCTGAGGTGAGTGGAGCTTGAGCCTAGGAGTTTGAGACCGGCCTGGACAACATAGTGAGGCCCCGTCTCTACAAATAATTTCAAAAATTAGCCAGGTGTGGTAGTGCATGCCTATGGTCCCAGCTCCTCAGGAGGCTGAGGCAGGAGGATTGCCTGAGCCCAGGAGGTTGAGGCTTCAGTGAGCCGTGATTGCACCACCACATTCCAGCCTGGATGATCTCAAAAAAAAAAAAAATTACTTAGTGCCCGGCCCATGAAAAGCACTCTTGAAGAATTAGCTATTTGCTGTGTGTGCGTGTCTATTATTTTACATATTTTACTAATACTATCCTTCCAGAACTTGTTTTTCTATTATGTATGTATCCATAATCACCTTAGTTTTCTTTAAAAGGAAGTATTTTTCAGGTAATTTTTTTCTCTTTTTTTATTTTTTGAGACGGAGTCTCGCTCTGTCACCCAGGCTGGAGTACAGTGGTGTGATCTTGGCTCACTGCAACCTCCGCCTCCCGGGCTCAAGAGATTCTCCTGCCTCAGCCTCCCAAGTAGCTGGGATTACAGGCACGTGCCACCACACCTGGCTAATTTTTGTATTTTTAATAGAGACGGGATTTCACTATGTTGGCCAGGCTGGTCTCGAACTGCTAACCTCAAGTGATCCGCCTGCCTCGGCATCCCAAAGTGCTGGGATTACAGGTGTGAGCCACTGCACCTGGCCTTTTTCTCTTTTTAATAAAAGTATTTGGGGTGCCGTGTAGTGGTCTCAGCAGCGCCCTTGTTAGCTGTACAGCCCACTAGCATTTCCTCAGCACCTGCTCTGTGCCAGCCCCTGTGCTAATCCCCTTACCGATGTGGCCCATTGCACGCATCCCACCTGCTCTTCCTCAGCCTGCTGGCTGCAGCCCCTCATCTGACATGACCTGGAAATTTGGGGGTGCCATCTCAAAGTCCTGACCCTGCCCCCAGACTGTGCTGATCTGGAGGCCTGGGGGCTTCAGACTTTCTTAACTGCCCGGTTAACAAGCACCGGCTCTGGGGTCTCTGCTGGGAGGTCAGAGTCAGGCAGTGGAAGTTCCAGAATCAGAGACATTCCTTTCTCTTCTACACACTGTGAAATCCTCATAATCCCTGCTTTGGAGAAAGAGATGACCCTTGTCCTGCCGGGCACTTGATCTTTGATCTGCCCACCTGGGCTGAGGTGCTGGCCTCACCCCTGGGTGGCCCCTGTCACACGCACGGTGTGCATGGCGGGGGTGGAATTGGCAAAACCCACCAGAGAGGTGGGGCTTACAGACAAGTGCTGGGAGGAGCCTCAGGCCCCGCCCCCACACTGAATGCCGGTCGGGGCCAAATGGTTCTCAACCTTGGGGCTGAGTTTTTACTTCCTTTTTTTTTTTCTAAATGGAAAAATCAATAGAGTGAGCCCAGCCCCAGCACTTAGGAAACTCTATATAGGTTGCGGTCCCTCAGAACTGCAGGGCCGTCAGCCTTGCCGGAGCCAGACGTCCGCTGTGCCGTCCTCACAGCAAGGCCTGCTCCGAGGCCCCGGGGTGCGTCAGCAGCCCTCCTCAAACACCCTGGGAGTGCCCAGCAGGGCGGAACACACCGGGAAACCAACACCCCAAAGGCACAAGGAAGTATCCCTGGAGCTAAAAATAGTTCTGGAAACTTGCCAGGGGGCCACAGGCTGGGACGTGCGTTAAGGCTCCCTGGCCAGGCTCTGGGTTGGTGTAGTGGGGAAGGGGCGCCCAGGTCGGCCCTGGGAGGACATGAACAGGCTTAGGCCGAGGGCTCTCAGATGTATTTACCTCTGTGCCTGGCAGCTGGCCCGTGGTGACAGGCAGAGCTGGAGGCTGGCCATCTTGGAAGGCGGCCGAAGGCCCATGTGTCCTCTTGGCCTCTGGCCCCGGAGGGCGGATGGGGATGTGGAAGTTGCTGACAGAGCATTTTCTGAGCTGTTGGGTCAGGGGCTGGGGTGTCTACAGTGCAGGGAAGCTCAGCAGTGTTGTTCACTCCCATGCATCTGTACAAAGGGGTGCTAGGCTTGGGAGGGGGCCCCCGTGTTCACAACCTCACCCCCAAGTTGGCCACTCCTGGGTTAGAGACTATGCCAGGGTTGGCCTGCCCCCTTTACCTCTT
This sequence comes from Homo sapiens, assembly GCF_000001405.40. Taxonomy (NCBI): domain Eukaryota; kingdom Metazoa; phylum Chordata; class Mammalia; order Primates; family Hominidae; genus Homo; species Homo sapiens. The sequence continues at coordinate 20,172 of NW_025791806.1, forward strand.
CCCTGCCCCCAGAGAGCCTTGCTTGGTTTGTGGGAGGTGGGGAAGGGAGCTGAGAGCCCTGGGATCTTCAAACTGTTCCTGCTTTTCCTTGTAGCTAAGAGGCCGGTGTCACCATACAGCGGGTACAATGGGCAGCTGCTGACCAGTGTGTACCAGCCCACTGAGATGGCCCTGATGCACAAAGTTCCGGTAAGTGGGTTCCCCAGGTCCCCGTGACACGTCTGGGCTACAGAGACCAGCCTCAGCAGGCCAGTGGGAGAAGGCCATGTGGCCAGAGCTGGGTTGGGTGGAGGTGGTAAGGGGAAGGCAAGCTTCTCCATCTGGTGCTTTTACCTGGGGAATCCAGAGCCCCAGTTCTTAAATTCCTTGTCCTGGAGTCAGTGTACCCACCACCTTCAGCTGCACTGCAGTGGGACCCGCCCTGTGTCACTGGGGCATTGCACACAGGTTGTGTCGGGATGCTATAGGGAATGCTGGGTGAGCTCTCCCTGGTGGGAGCTGCCAGCTTTACCCTGGAGGGCTTGGGGAGGGACAAAGGAGGGTCTCAGCCAGGTGCTCCCAAAATAGACAGGGGTCCAAATGTCACAGGTCTGGATAGGTGTTTACTTCTCAACCACAGCTGTGCCAAGGGGGCCCACACTCTCCTCCCTCTCTGGCAGGCAGCAAGTCTCGACCTTACACCTCCCCCTGGGTTCTGGAAACTAGAAGCATCGTTAGCCAGGGGAGGGGGAGGGAGCAGGAAGACGGTGGGTTGGATTCTACTCACTCCTATATGTGTTCCTCCTCCCGGCTGGCAGAGGCTGTGGGGAGAGGTCAGTGACCCGTCTTGGCAGGACACTGGGAACAGGAAACAAGGAGGTCAGCTGGGTGGCGTTCTCATCCCCCTCCCCGCCCTCTCTGTGAGAGCCGCGGGGCAGGGGGAGGTGAGTGTGGCTGAAGCTTCCAATCCCAGCGCCTCCCCTCTCCCTGAGCCTGAACCTGAGCCTGGGCAGAGGAGAGCTTCCGGAGCACCAGGAGTGGAGGCTGCGGGCTGTCAGCTCTGGCGGGGAGTGGGCAGCCACAGAAGCCTTTGCTGAATAGCTTCCTTCACTGTTGCTGCACCTCACTCCCCAGCGCGTTTGGAGTCTGCTTCCTGGGGGATGATCTGGATTAACAGGGATATTTTATCTGACCGGTTCTCAAAACATGGTACCCGGACCACCAGCACTAGCCTCACCTGGGAGCCTGCTCAAAGTGCAAATGGGGGCCAGGCACAATGGCTCACACCTGTAATCCCAGTACTTTGAGAGGCTGAGGCAGGTGGATCACCTGAGGTCAGGAGTTTGAGACCAGCCTGGCCAACATGCTGAAACCTCATCTCTACTAAAAACACAAAAATCAGCCAGGCATAGTGGCACATGCCTGTAGTCCCAGCTACTAGGAAGGCCTTAGCCAGAGGATCCCTTGAACCCGGGAGGTGGAGGTTGCAGTGAGCACAGACTGTACCACTGCACTCCAGCCTGGACAACAGAGTGAGACTCTGTCTCCAAAAATAAATAAATAAGAAAAAAAAAAAAAAGTGCAGATGGGGCGGGGCCAGAGCTGGGATGGAGCTGACTGTTAGCATCCGTTCAGGGCGTCGGCACCATGGGGGCACTATCCAGCGCAGATCTGCAAGCCCAGCATTCAGCACTCCCTCCCCCAGCCCCAGCTGTTGCCAGCTGCATGGGGCCAGCTGTGTTGGGTGGGGACTGTGTAGGGTCCAGCTATGAGTTGGTGGAGTCTGCGTGGGGACTGTGTAGGGTCCAGCTATGAGTTGGTGAGGCTTAACAAGCAGTGCAGGTGATTCCAATGCACACTCATCTGTGGTTTTGGACCACAGATGTAGATGTTCCAGGGACCACATGGACAGGGGCCATTGCAGACAGGCCTGAGGACCTCCTGGGCCTGATTGACTTGAAGGCTAGTTTGGGGTCTGGGAGCTACAGAGATTTGGTGGCAGCTCTTTCCCATAGGGCTAAGACAGATGGGGCCAGGAATACACCTTTCCTCCAGCATAGGAGCCGGAACAGGTACCTCAGGACCCTCTTCACCCCACAGCTGGTGTCTCTCACCCACATGGGAGCAAGACCCAGCGCCAGGCAGAGAATTCAGGTTTCAAGACTCCAAATCAGGGCTGGTTGCAGTGGCTCATGCCTTTAATCCCAGTGCTCTGGGAGACTGACATGGGAGAACTGCTTGAGGCCGAGGGTTCGAGAGCAGCCCTGGCAACGTAGTGAGACCCCCCCCCCCCGCCCACCATCTCTACAAAAAAAAAAAAAAGACTCCAAATCAGACCGGCCAGACTAGATGCCTAGAGAGATGTGTGGGCACACCCAGAGCCATGTCCTCCGCCAGGGAAGCCAGCAACTGTGATGCTGGGGGTATGGTAGTGACAGGCGGTCGACTCGGGGTAATATTCTTGGAGGAGCCGGGCATGGTGGCTCACACCTATAATCCCGGCACTTTGGGAAGCCGAGGCGGGTGGATCACGAGGTCAGGAGATTGAGACCATCCTGGCTAACATGATGAAACACCGTCTCTAATAAAAATACAAAAAATTAGCCGGGCACGGTGGCGGGCTCCTGTAGTCCCAGCTACTCGGGAGGCTGAGGCAGGAGAATGGCGTGAACCCGGGAGGCAGAGTTTGCAGTTGGCCGAGATCACGCCACTGCACTCCAGCCTGGGCGACAGAGCGAGACTCCGTCTCAAAAAAAAAAAAAAAGATTCTTGGAGGAAGGGGGCCTGGGAGCTATGTCAGACAGGTAGTAGCAGCTCTGTGTGGCTGACTCTCCACTGGCCCTAGCATTTCCCTAAACAATTGGAAGTAGGAGGGTCTTGAGAAGGGGATCCCCCTCTGTGAAGCCCCAGCACCATCCAAGGTCAGCAGGGGCCTCGTTCCCATGCCCAGAGGCAGGGTGAGATAAGGGGCTCAGGTCTGGCTGTCCCAGGCTGCTCCTGGGGCCCAGCCAGAGGGGGCAGAGGAGCCGAGGGGGGAGTTGGGGGGGATCTGGCAGTCCCAGCCCTGCAGGAAGTGTTTGTGCATCCGCCCCGGCGGAACCTGGCTCCCAATCCCCGACTGTGAGACCGCCTGTTCTTCCTTCCAGTCCGAAGGAGCTTACGACATCATCCTCCCACGGGCCACCGCCAACAGCCAGGTGATGGGCAGTGCCAACTCGACCCTGCGGGCTGAAGACATGTACTCGGCCCAGAGCCACCAGGCGGCCACACCGCCGAAAGACGGCAAGAACTCTCAGGTCTTTAGAAACCCCTACGTGTGGGACTGAGTCAGCGGTGGCGAGGAGAGGCGGGCGGATTTGGGGAGGGCCCTGAGGACCTGGCCCCGGGCAAGGGACTCTCCAGGCTCCTCCTCCCCCTGGCAGGCCCAGCAACATGTGCCCCAGATCTGGAAGGGCCTCCCTCTCTGCCAGTGTTTGGGTGGGTGTCATGGGTGTCCCCACCCACTCCTCAGTGTTTGTGGAGTCGAGGAGCCAACCCCAGCCTCCTGCCAGGATCACCTCGGCGGTCACACTCCAGCCAAATAGTGTTCTCGGGGTGGTGGCTGGGCAGCGCCTATGTTTCTCTGGAGATTCCTGCAACCTCAAGAGACTTCCCAGGCGCTCAGGCCTGGATCTTGCTCCTCTGTGAGGAACAAGGGTGCCTAATAAATACATTTCTGCTTTATTAACTCTTGCTCTGGGATTGTGGTTTCTGACCTGGCCTCCTGGTTTCTGATGAACGTCTCCTCCACCATGGCCTGTGGGTGACTTCTCTTTCTTCCCTCCAAATCCAGCTCACATTTAAAGCTGCTGCAGATTTTTCCTGTGCAGTTAAGTAGCTGATGCCTCTCCCCAGTGAGTGGTTCTTTAGCAGGTCCTCTGTCTGTATTGTGTGCGATCAGAATGAACACCCAGGCTCAGTGCGTGCCTAGGATGCAGTCCCGCACCTGGGCTTGTCTGAGGCCAGGCAGCTTTCCTCTGGGAACCCCCCTCCAGTGGCTGTGGGGATAGGACTGGGAAGGTGAGCCTTGAGCCAGGTGGCTCTGTGTGTAAGGGAAGATGAACTCATTTCAGCTTCTCCTGGGATGAATGACAGTGAAGATCCCATAGCGGACAAAGTGGAGACTCATTCTGCTCCATGCTTTGAGATCACACCGTGTGATACGTGCAAAGGAATGGCCTAGAGAGGGTCAGGAATTGTTTACAAATGGGTTGACAAAAGTGCAAAGGGTTGGGCCAGGTCCTGGTTGGTTTCGTTCCCGAGCGGTCATTAAAATGTCCATTTATGCGGGGTGCGATGGCTCATGCCTGTAATTCCAGCACTTTGGGAGGCCAAGGTGGGAGGATTGCTTGAGCCCAGGAGTTCCAGACTAGCCTGGGTAACATAGTGAGACCTTGTTTCTACAAAAAAAAAATTTTTTTTTAATTAGCCAGACATTAGTCCTAGCTACTCAAGGGGGTGAGGTGGGAGGATCTCTTAAGCCCAGGAGGTCGAGGCTGCAGTGAGCTTTGATTGCACCATTACACTACTGCCTGGGCAACAGAGCGAGACTCTGTCTCAAAAAAAGAAAGTCAGTTTGTTCGGTACTTATACTAAGCAAAAGCCTTTCCTCAGCAGCTCATTTTTTAATTTAATTTAATTTAATTTTTTTTTTGAGACAGAGTCTTGGTCTGTTGCCCAGGCTAGGGTGCAGTGGCACAATCTCGGCTCACTGCAACCTCCGCCTCCCAGGTTCAAGCAATTCTCCTGCCTCAGCCTCTTGAGTAGCTGGGATTATAGACATGTGCCACCACACCTGGCTAACTTTTTGTATTTTTAGTAGAGACAGGGTTTCACCATGTTGCCCAGACTGGTCTTGAACTCCTGGCCTCAAGTGATCTGCCCACCTCAGCCTCCTGGAGTACTAGGGTTACAGGCATGATCCACCACTCTCGGCCCATCAGCTCATTTTAATCCCCAAGGCTGCCCTGGAAGGTGGGAAGGACTAGTATTCTATCCCTTTTCCAGATTCAAAATCCCAGAACTGTACCATTTTGGGGTGAGACAGGGCCTCAGAGTAGTTCTACCGCCCCCTTTTACAGGTAAGCGAACTGACCCAGAGAGGCCAGGCCAACACCAACCAGGTTTTCCTAAGACTCTGACGTCCAGCAGCCTCTCTCCGTGGCCCACCCTGGGTAAGCCAGTCCAGTGGGTGGCACTTCCAGCCATGTGGTTGAGACAGCAGGGTCCTGACCTTTGGACGCTGGCTCAAGACTTTGCCAGGGGGCTGCCAGGCCGGCCCCGGGGAGCCTGCTCCTCCCAGGCTTGGGAATGTTTCTCCCCAGCTAGTCAGAAGCTATTTTCTGATACCGGTTGTAGGGGAAAAAATGTTTTTGTTGAAAGGGAGAGAAAGGTTGCTGGGAAAAAAAAAATAAACTTGAAGGGGAGAGAAAGTTTGCTGGGAAGAAAAAATAAACTTCTCCCAAAATTCTCCTTCTATGCTCAGATTGCATTAGCCTCCTGGGGACTGAAACACTATTTTTAAGTAAAAACCAGTTCTTGGGCCCCACGCAGTAGAGTCCCCTTTGACTCTTGTTCTTTCTGGTCACTTTAGGCTCAGTCCCCACAAAGTAAAACGAGATGGTAGAAGCCCTCTTCCCGGGACTGCACGGCATCCTGATCCTCATTCCTCTGTACCCAGGCTGGACCGGGCCCAGCACCTTTCCCATCCTTGTCATTGGAGCTGGGAGGGGCCGGAGGCCACCAACCTGAAGCAGTGGACCGAGTGGGCCCCCGTGAAGCCCTGAGTGTGTGACTGGAGCGCCTAGGGCCACCTCCCTTTCCTGCCCAGCCCATCTTCCTGGTCCCCAGGTGGCTGCAGCTACAAGGAGCTGTCCGCGGGCCCCCAGGCTGCCTCCAACTCCCCTCTTGACACGCCCCCCTCCCCCCAAATCATAGTCCCTGTGTCCCCAAGCTGTGGTTCAGATTGCCTTCTTCCCCTCTGTGAACAACAGGCCTCAGTGCCCCGTCTTGACTCTGGACCTTCCTGGCCCTGCCATCTTGGTGTCTGGCACTGGCTTGTCCCACCCTCTGCCTAGATGGATCTCCTCCATGAGTCTTTGGAGCCAAGCCAGGGCAGAAGTTGGCCCTTGCCCTTCTCACCAGGGCCTCCTGCCACCACCTGGACTGTGGAAGGCCACTGAGATGGGGGCAGAGCTCAGCCCGAGGCTTGGGCACACTGCTTCTCTCCACGGCCTGTGGGTCCTGGATCTGAGCCCTTGGGGTGTTTCACTCAAGAGCCACTGAGCCGTCCCCATCTTCCACAAAGCAGTTTCCACAAGCAAGCCAGGGCCAGCCCTGCCTGCACTCTGCCCGCAGTGCCCCTCAACGTCTGGGATGAGGATGAGCCTGCTGAGATGAGGGCAGCTCTCTCCATCCAGCAGTACCTCATGGAGTGCTCACTAAGGAGTTAGGAATGGCAGGCCACGCTGGCATCTGGGGTTCAAGGTGGCTCCTGTGGCAGGAACAGGTGTCCATGACCCTGATTACCTGGATCTCACAGGTTCTGGGAATGCAATAGGGGCCTGCTGTGGCTATTCCAACATCTCTGGTCAGGGCCTGGAAGTACCTTAGGACACATGGGGTTGGGGTCAGGACTGCATTCTCAGGGACCAGTGGAGAGCCCTGGACCAGATGAACTGGAGTCTAGGCCTCTCTCGTGACTGGGACTTGTGGGACGTGGGAGGCCTGTGAGATCCAGGACTAAAGATTATGCTGTTTCCTAATGGGCAGATATGTAAGTAGGTAAGTGGGATCCTCAGGTAAGCGGGATCCAGAACTAAAGACTGTGCTATTTCCTGATGGGCAGATGTGTTGTTTCTACCTCATCTTGGGCAGCACCTGGATATGCTGGCGCTGGTTCATCACTGGAGGAGCCTCTTGTATTTTGAGCCCTCGGACATGCTCCAGAGGGTCCTGACGGTCACCCAGCAAAGAGGGGGTACCTCCATGGTGCTGGCACCAAAGACAGAGATGGGCACAGCTCCAGGCTCGTGAAAATGAGCTCTCTATAACATTGTCTTCCTGAGGTTTTTCCTGCCCTTATCCAAGGTGGGCCCTAAAGCTCAGTCCCCAGCCCAGCAGCACCTCTGGGTGCCGGGGTGGAGGATGACGACCAGAGCAGCTCTCTGGAGAGGTGCCCTGTAGTCAGTCCCACAGCTCTCTGGTGCTACCCCCGTCCCCAGCAGCCTGTGCCTTTGTCACTGGCATACTTTTCCAGAGCTAAATTGGGCGAGCAATCCCTGCAGAGTAGGATTGCAGCTCTGACTGTGGCCCCCGACCTCTCTGTGTTGCCTGTCGAAGTCCATGAACAGAATGTTATTTCCCTCCAGTGGAAGGGAAGCAGGGAGCTCTGTGGACCTCACGCTGCCCTTGGTCTAGCTTAGCGGCCCCAAGATCCCTTAGTGAATCAAGGCGCTGTGTTGCTTTCCTATGTGATAATTTCAAAGGAGTCCCCGGCAGGGCCTGATACCCAGAGGCTGCAGTCTCCAGTGGACGTGGGTGTGTGTATAGCCTGAGTCCTCTGGGGGTCTGCGCGTGAGGCTCAGGGAGGGATGGGATCCTAAAAGATGCAGGCCTGCCTGTATTCAGGAGTACCCACTGGCCCTGCTTACTCCCGCCCGGGCCAAGTGGAGAAGAAGTTAGATGAGTTCTTAGGAGGAGAGAGGCAGCTTCTTTGAGGTGGTCGAGTGGCATCACAAACAAGCGTTGAATGGAAAAAGACTAGAAGAGGCAGAGCCTGTCACAGGTTCACCATCATCCAGCCAACACTATGGGAAATCTCACACCCACCACTGTCAAACCGAGGACTTTGGACTTAATAACTGCTCAGAATTAAACGACCTTACCTTCCATGGGTGAGGGCTTACTGCCATTGAATTCCTGTGTGTTCATAAATTCTGGGAGTTACTAGTTTTTTTTTTTTTTTTTTAATTATTTTTAGAGACAGGGTCTTGCTACGTTGCCCAGGCTGGTCTCGAACTCCTGGCCTCAAGCGATTCTCTCATCTCAGCCTTCCATGTAGCTGGGATTCCAGGTGCCTGCTCCCCCACCCCCGACCCTGCCTCTGGGATTTTTTTCATGTGTATTTCCCTGCTAGACCTCTTGCTTTTTACACCAACAAATGCTGTTTGATTCCAACTAACCTTTTTCTCTGTTGGGGATTTATTTTAAGGGGAAAACCAGGCCTCCAAAAACCACTGAGCTCTCAACCCGTCAAGGCCAGAGAACTCTAACACCTACACAAGATGTGGGTGGGGAGGGAGGCGACCCCAAAAGTATCCCTGTTGCTGCCTGGCATGGCTGGAAGAGGCAGCCAGGATACCCATTGGGTGAAATTCTCAGTGCACAGAACCAGGGATGGCTGGTAAATCCCCTGGGCCATGAAGACCTGCCTGCCGAGTGCCTTTCCTGGCTTTCCAGTTTACTCATGGCCCTGCACTTGTTCGTCAGCCCCCCACAGCTCATAGAAGAGAGCAAGCAACAGAGGCTAAGTGCCTGCCCTGTGGGGGTGCTGCTTGGAAGGGTCTGTTGGCCCTCCAAGCCATTCTCGCCAAGGGCAGCATTTTCACTAGCCCCCGGAGGATGCGCCAAGGTCAGGCACAGGTGCCAGGAACCAGGATTTGTTTCCTGTCTGCCGTCTCCACTCTGGGCCCTCCAGGAAGCTGCAGCCCCTGTTCACAGCAGCTGCATGAATTATTTAGCATCTGCACCAGACCGGGAGTGCTCTGACCTCATCCTCCTTGGGCTCAGGGTGCGGTTCTGACCTCATCCTCCTTGAAAAAAGGTTGTTGATAGGCAGAGGCTGGAGCGGTGCGTCCCTCTGGGGTGCGGGTGATTAAAAGGGAGACACCAGTACCCTCAGAGAAGGAGGTGGGGAGCAGCGACCCATGCCCTTGTCGCAGGAGGCAATTCTGCAGCACGCAGAAAATATGACTTTGGAATCAGAGGCTGCGGGTTCACATCCTGGCTGTTAGTAGTTCTGTGACCTTCAGCAGCTCCCTTGGTCCTTCCTCAGTCTTCTCATCTGAAAAATGGGGGTACCAGCCCCCTGAGTTTGTGTTTGGTGTTCTGTCCCCTCCAGATAACCCCCACGAAAGTCACAGTCAAGGCAGAGCGTCCAGGCACCATCTGCCCAGTGTTTCCTGCCCAGACAAGCAGGTCTTCTGGCCAGATTTCAGTTTGGCACCTCCTGGTGCCACATCTTCCCTTCCCTCTATGCTGCCTCATGCCCTGGGTCCCCAGAGTGGGTGGCTTGGCAGGTTGCCACGATTGGAAGAGGATGCTAAGGAGAGAGACCCTTGGCAGTGCCCGCGCCCTGACTGGCAGGGGAGAAGGGCTAGCAGAGGCGTTAGGAGGGTCGCCAGGTGCACAGGAAGCCTAAGAAGCTAGGCTGAAGATCTGGGACGGAGCTGCTTTCTGCCAGCAAATGTCCACTGTCTACTGGGTGGACGGGAGGGAGTGGAGATGAGAGCGATCTGGTCTCTGCCCTCCTTTGCCAGGTCAGGCCTGAGGGCTGAAGTGGGAGTGGCCATGTGAGTCCCAGCAAATGCGTTTTGGGATTAAGCACGCAGGTGCCTTCAGCAAGCTTCCCCGGGTATCCCCTTCCCAAGCGGCACCTTCGTGGCAGGCAGGGCATCTCGGACCAGGGCCTGGCTCCAGCTAGCTCTGTGGCCTTGGACAGCTCCCTTGACCCCTCGCCCCCGCAAGGGTTTCCTCATCTGTAAAATACACCCCGATGTCTCCAGCTCTGTCTAAGCCCTGGAGTTGGTGTCCCCAGCAGTGGAGAGGGGACCTAAAGCCCCAGGGCTCTGCCGCAGATGCACCCCCAGGGGTTCCGACTCAAAGTCTGGAGCAGAACTGGGCAGACACAGGGTGACCGCCTGGCTGTGCTTTGGAGAGAGAAGTTGGGTCCCGTGGGGGTGAATGGGGCCGGTCCCAGACCGGTTGTCCGCCCCATCCGCCGACCCCTCACCTCCGCAGACTCCTCCAAGCCAGGGGCCTGGAAGTGGCTCCTTCTGATTCACCTAAAGGCAACGGTGGCTTGCCTCACCCCCAACTCCACCGACGGCAGGAGAGGGTCCGCGGGGGCCCGGGCCCAGGGAAGGTTTTACGCTCCGTCCTTAACCCAGCGTCCTAACCTGACCCGGCTGGGAGAGGGGGCGGGGCCCCGGAACCCCACCCGCAGACAGCCCACTCCCCCGCACGCACCTGGGTTGGGGGAGGTGGGGGGCGGTGGGGGGCAGTGAAGGTGGGGGGAGGTGGGGGTGGGCCCGAGCAGCCGGCGCGCCCACGTGCCTCTCCCGCGAGGGCCCGGCCACCCCAGCTCCAGCCAACCCGAGGCCGCCTCTCGTGCCCCACCCCAAGCCCCGCCCCGGCCCCTGCAACCCGATCCTCGCCGCGGGGCGGCGGCCGAAGCCAGCTGTCCCAGCTCCTGCTGTAGCCTGGGGGCCGGGCCGCCGCGCTCCGCCCATCCCCGCCCTCAGAGCTGGGCCTCGCAGCCGCTAGGGATTGCGGGGGCCGCATTTATCCCTGTGTCTCTCAGGCCCCGCAGAGACGGGGGTGGGGTGGGTGACGCCAGGGAAGCAGGCCCCTTTTCCCAAGGGAAGAATCCCCTTCCGGAGGCCCGCCGGGCCATGGAGTTTCCGCGGGTGGAGGTAGTGAGGCCAAGGGCACGGGGAGCCCTGTCGCTGCCTTACGTCTGGCTCTAGGCCGGGGTTCCTCGGCTCCACCAGCGACATTTGTGGCCGGATCGCTGTGTAGTGGAGCTGGCCCGGGAACTGCAGGATATTGAGCGGCATCCCTGACCCCCTCCACTGGATGCCAGGAGCACAGCCAGCCCCCTAACCCTACAACCACAAATGTCTCTGGACACGGCCAAACGTCCCCTGGGGGCAAACTCTCCGGGTGGAAACCCACTCCCCGAGGGTTTTTCGGTGGGCATTTGAGGCAGCCACACGGGCTGGGGGCCTGGAGCTCGAGGTCCCTGCAGCCAGGAAGCTGGTGCTGGCCTCCCCTTCTCCCCGGCGCTGCCAGCTGCTTCAGGCTGGCCTGGGAACTGTGACCCTTGGCCTGACAGTATTTCGGCAGCATGTGACCTGCCAGGCTTTCTCACCGTAGGGTGCCCCCACCCTGATGTGGGTGCTGGCACAGGGGATGCTGGGGACAAGCCCATCACTAGCAGTCAGGCCAGCTGGGGCACCGGAAAGAGACTCAGGCACTGGGTGTCCATGGGCAGCCTGAGGTTCCCAAGAGAAGCTGGGCTGAGGCCGCCGTGTGAGCCCAGGGGCTGTCCGGGCTGAAGGTCAGGGGGCATCCTGGCCCACAGGGTCCACCCCTTACGCGCACACACACACACACACACACACACACACGCACACACTGGGTGGGGCGTGGGAAAGACAAAAGGAGTCGGTCCCAGCTGGGGAGGATCCCGCCCTGTCCCTTCACCAGGCCCATTTGGGAGCGGTCATCAGAGCCAGGAAGGTGGTGAGAGGGCTGGGGCAGGGCACTGTTGGCCCCAACCCCCACTGCGTGCCACCCTGCCATGCAAAGCAGAATTTTCAGAAGAATCCAATTGCAGACTTAACGGGGGAGGTTTTAGTAGCTCCCCCTCCCCCTGTGTATTCACAATTGACTGTATTTGCATAGGAAATCTGGAAAGAGACAAAAGGCACCATAGCAGATGTTAAAGTGGACCATTGGGGGAGTTGGCCGGGGGCGTGGGGGGAAAGGGGGTCGGATGTGGGGGTGGGAATCCCCTGGTACCAAGCAGATGAGGGACAAGAAGATTTTTTCTGTCTCGTTTTGCTTTTTCTTTCTCTCCTTCCTTTCTCTCTTTTCCATAAAAATAAATTACATATTTTTAAAAAAAAATTCTTCTGAAAGAAAGAAAAGGGGCCAAAGGTAGCAGTGGCCCCCCACCAGCAGCTGCAGTGGCCTGCGACGTCCCTGCCCCAGCCTTCACAAAGACCAGACTGAGCTACCCTCGGCCACACTCCCTTTCCTCATCTCTCCCCCTGAGAAAGATGGGCCAACTTTTAGCCTGCCTAGATTTTCAACTCATTCTCTCCTTGGGAGGGTTTTCAAGGAGGCTGGGGCGGGGAGTGTGTGTTCATTGCATGTATGTGGCATGGGGCACCCACCCTCCACCCAGCCTTGCTGAATGATTCTTCGAAGGCTGAATTAGATTTACATCCGTGGAGCAGATTGGTGTGCTGTTTCTCAGCGTGTAGCTCATCATTATAAAACATGCTGTGTCCCATGGGGCAGACAGCAACAGACATGGGAATAGCATTTGGCTCATTAATTCATTCATTCATCAGGTTTTCATCCATATTTATCAAAGGCTGCTCCGTGCCATCATTCTAATTAACATCAATTCCCACACTGATCTCTCTCCTAGTATCCAAGTCTGTCTGGCACACAATTCTGTCACCTCCTCCAATCTGAGGCTTCCATCTCCACAACTCACTGCAGCCCGGTGTCCTGGGTCTCTGAGGGGAATCTCTTACTGTGTGTGCCAGTTCCTCAGCTACTTGACGGTGTCTGTAGATAGTGACCTGCTCTGAGGTCTGCAAGGGCAAAGTCACCCCCATCCCTGCATCTGTGTTCATGTCCCTGTGATGGGGATGATGGTTCACTGATGGGAACTTTGGTCACCTGGGGACAGCTGTGTCCTGGCTTTGAAAGTGAGGCTGGTTGGCCATGCATCATGGCTCACACCTGTAATCCCAGCACTTGGCAAGGCCAAGGCGGGGGAATTGATTGAGGCCAGGAGTTTGCGACCAGCCTGGCCAACATGGTGAAACCCTGTCTCTACTGAAAATACAAAAATTAGCCGGGGTTGGTGGTGCTCACCTGTAATCCCAGCTACTTGGGAGGCTGAGGCAGGAGAATCGCTTGAACCCAGGAGGTGGAGTTTGCAGTGGGCAGAGATTGTGTCACTGCACTCCAACCTGGGTGACACATTGAGACTCTGTCTCAAAAAAAAAAAAAAAAAAAGGAAAGAAAGTAGGCCAGGGAGATGGCCGGCCTGGGTTGCGGTGGGGGACTCTCTCCTTTGGTCATAGTCAGAAAGGTTAAGAGGGTGCTCTCCTGGGCACCCGTGAAGTGCCAGGTGTTCTCATAACCCCCGTGCACTCCAGTTCGTAAACTTGTCTGATTCTAGAAATCATCTGAATGCATTTGTTAAAATGACAGATTCCCAGTCCCCAACTGGAGAGACGCCTTATTCAGCTGGTCCGAGGCAGGCCCCAGAATCTGCATTCTCAGCCAGTACCCAAGGTGTTTGTTACATCAGTCAAACTTGGGCCCCACTACTGTAGGGGAGGCTGAGATGGGTTAATGCTGCCTCCACCACTGCCTGGGGGAGTCGGGAGAAGGAGCTGGGTGATTGAGTGACCAGGAGGCCTTTCAAGTCATCACCTTCTCACCTTTTCAGTGGTGGAGGTGGGAGCTTGTGTAGGGACTGTGGTGCAGGGTTGGGGTAGGAGAGAGAAGAGTCAAGAGATCTAAGGCTGTGGTCCCCCAGCTTCCCCCATGACTGAGGACCCATTTGAGGACAGGCTGGACGTTTTTCTGTATTTTTCAAGGGTTCTGTTCACTCTCCTTCCCGAATTCCTCAAGGGGGAGGGTGAGCAAGTGGGCTGAGAAGGAGGCACGGGGCTGGTGTCCAGGATCCCCGGGCCACTGTCTCCGGCCGTTTCCCTGCGTCTGATAGAAGGGGCCCCTTCCTACCCAGGCCCCTGGGATTTCTGCCTCTCACCTTTTAAGGCAATCCTTTGTTTTCCCGTCTTTGTTTACATGTTTCCCATGAAACCATGAGCTCCTGAAAAGGACATATTGCGGTATTTTTATCTTCATGTCCCTATCTTTGGACCCAGTGCCTGGCTCAATGGGGGCAGCCATTAATATTTGTTGAACAAATTGGCAGTGCCTGGGCACTGAGCGCCACCTGGCGGCGTTAGCGGGCATGGTGGTGCTTAGATATCAGTTGGAGCGGCGGACCTAGGGGGACGCGTCCTGGTCCCCTGGTTTGGGGCGGCCCGTCCAAGTGTGAGGTCATGTAGGGGTGGGGTAGGGGTCCCTGAACAAGGTCTGGTGGGGAGGCGAGGGGTGGGCCTTTGAAAGCTGTGACTCTCTCAGGATAACAAGGGGCAGGTGGGAAAGGAAGCCATGGACGCTCGGGATGGAGAAAGAAGAGGTCTATTCAACCATCTATTCATTCATTCATTTATTCACTTTCAGAACCAACTTTATGGGCAGGATTCAGCAGGAGGCTGGGACTTGTCATGCTGAGTCCTCCCTGAAGGGACTCCCTCCTTGTCTGCAGAGAGCTTAGGTAGTCCGGGGTTGGAGAATATCTATCTCCCTGAAGTGGAATGGCCAGCCGACTTCTGCACTTCCTCCACCCCGTCCTATGCACGGTCTGGTGTCTGAAACCTCTTTTCTCCCACTGCAGTGCCCTCCCACCCTCCCTCTTCCTCAGGGCGTGGAATCTCTGCCAGGGCTCCACTCATGGACTCAGGCATGGATGTTTTTATTATTCTTCTTTAGAGACAGGGTCTCCATGTGTTGCCCGGCCAGTCTAGGACTCCTGGGCTCAAACCATCATCCTGCTTCTGCCTCCTGACTGGCTGGGATTGCAGGTGTGGGCCACCATGCCTGCCCCCAAAGGCCCCCGAAGAATTTTCATGTGCACCCAGGCTTGAGACTTCTGCCAGAATCTGTGTAAGCAAATGTGGTCAGCGGGACCGGGAAACTGCATCGGAGTTATGTCTCTTTCTGCTTCACCCCACAGAGCTCTCTCCAGGTCGCTGCTGTTTTTGCTACACCCTGAGTCCCCACCCCAACATATACACTCTGACCTCCTGCGATGGTTGATATTGAGTGTCAACTGGATTGGATGGAAGGATGCAAAGTATTGTTCCTGGGTGTGTCTATGAGGGTGTTGCCAAAGGAGATTAACATTTGGGTCAGTGGACTGGGAAAGGCAGACCCAGCCTCAATCTGGGAGGGCACCATAAAAGCAGGTATGTAAAGAGCAGACTGGCTGAGTCTTCCAGCCTCCATCTTTCTGCTGTGCTGGATGTTTCCTGCCCTCAAACATTGAACTCCAAGTTCTTCAGCTTTTGGTTCTTGGACCTGCACCAGTAGTTTGCCAGGGGCTGTTGGGCCTTTGGCCACAGACTGAAGGCTGCACTGTCAGCTTCCCTGCTTTTGAGGTTTTGGAACTTGGACTGGCTTCCTGGCGCCTGTGCTTGCAGATGGCCTGTTGTGGGACCTCACCTTGTGATCGCGTGAGTCAATACTCCTTAATAAACTCTCCTTTATATCTACATCTATGTTAGTTCTGTCCCTCTAGATAACCCTGACTAATACACCCCCAAAACTACCCATGATAAAAGTTGACTCTCCTATTCTCTAGAAGCTAGAGATCTGAGCAGTATTTATTTATTTTTTATTGTTTGAGATGGAGTCTTGCTCTGTCACCCAGGCTAGAGTGCAGTGGCACGATCTAGGCTCACTGCAACCTCTGCCTCCTGGGTTCAAGCAATTCTCCTGCCTCAGTCTCCCAAGTAGCTGGGATTACAGGTGCCTGCCAACATGCCCGGATAATTTTTTGGTATTTTAAATAAAGACAGGGTTTCACCATGTTGTCCAGGCTGGTTTCAAACTCCTGACCTCAAGTGATCCACCCGCCTCAGCCTCCCAAAGTACTAGGATTACAGGTGTGAGCCACCGCGCCCGGCCACTCAGCAGTATTTAAGGTTGCAACCTTGGGTTCCTGCACCCATGGCCAAAACACATGTTCACAAAGGGGTCACTGCCAGCTGGTAGCCCTGGGGCAGTGTCCCTTGAACCCAGAGCCTTAAGGTAAAGCATGTAACCTTACTCAGGGCAGGGGAGGGAGGCTTGAAACCCAGGTTCCTGTCTTTGTCCTCTCAGTCCTAGAGGCAAGGCAGGCGTTCCCCAACTCCCCACCTGCACCCTAGCCCCTCCCCTCTCCTGGAACAGTCCAGCGGAGGCAGGCAGTGGAGTCACGGTGCTGCAGCCTGCTTACGCTAATGCCGCAGCTGGACAGTCCCAGGTCAGCCTCAGGGCTACAGGCCTTCTTGGGCATTGAGAGCCCCCTGGGTCTCCTCGACTGCCAACCAGGAGCCCAAGAGACCACAGAGGCCAAGCCGTGGCACCCTTGGTCCCTCCTGGGTGGCCTGGTCTGAAGGCTGGGCTCTGTGCCATTTCCTCCTCTGTGACATCTTTTTAAACATTTTTATAATTTTTTTAGAGACAGGGTTTCTCTCTGTCTCCCAGGCTGGAGTGCAGGGGCACAATCATAGCTGTCTGCAGCCTCCACCTCCCGGGCTCAAGCGATCTCTTGCCTCCGTCTCCCAGAGTGTTGGCATTACAGGCTTGAGCCACTGCGCCCAGCCCTCCCCTGTGACTTCTGCCTCTCTCTCTCCTTTCATCCACTCTTCCTCTCCCTTGGAGGGCTTCACCCTCTGGAGCCTTCAGATAATCTTCCAAAGGGGCTGGAGGCTTCCCCTGTTCCTGGTCTACTGGCTGGGGGATCTGGAAGGATCCGCATACAGATGCCTCTCCACTTCTAGACATGCAGAGATAGGAACAGATTTGCCTGTCCAAGAAAGCAGGCAGTTCTAGCAGCCAACATCAGATGGCAACAGGGGCTGCTTGTGATTAGCCAGTTTAGACTTTGCCTGGGTTCCAAGGAGAGCAGCTTCTTTAGGGGGCTGCCGACTGCACCCCTTGCTGGCTGCTGGGTCCCACTGCCTGATTTGCATCCCCTGGCTCCAGCCACTTTGGGAGTTAGGAACAGGACTGTGGGACCCCCCTCAAGCACCTCCCCACAACCCGCCTGCTCCAGGGCTAAGTTTCACCATCTGGCTCACCCCAGCTCCATTCTGTCCAGCTTCTGCTCACTCCCCTCCCTGCCACCCTAAGTTTTTAGGGCCACAATGTGTCCACTTGGGGCCAACCAGTTATGGGACAGACAACCAGGGATGGGTAGGGGGTGGGGACAGAGCCAAGGTGGAGTGAGGTTTCTTTTTTTTTTTTTTTTTTTTTGAAACGGAGTCTCACTCTGTCGCCCCAGGCTGGAGTGCAGTGGTGCGATCTCGGCTCACTGCAACCTCTGCCTTCTAGGTTCAAGTGATTCTCCTGCCTTAGCCTCCTGAGTAGCTGGGACTACAGGCGTGCACCACCACGCCAGGCTAATTTTTTGTATTTTTAGTAGAGACGGGTTTTCCCTATGTTGGCCAGGCTGCTCTCGAACTCCTGACCTCAGGTGATCTGCCCACCTCGGCCTCCCAAAGTGCTGAGATTACAGGCGTGGGCCTCCGGCCTGGCCCTGGAGCCAGGGTTCTGAAGCCAGGTGAGCCATCAGGAGTTGGAGCAGAGAGAAGATGCTGGGGTTTGGGGTGCCCTGGAGCCAGATAGGAATCTATTGGGCACACCTGGGTCCAGGCTAGGCCGGTACTGGCCAGTAGACCTTGCCTTCAGCTGTGTTGACATGCAGCACCTACACACAGCACTCAATTCCTCAACCCCAGAGAGGTAGGAAGCCCCATTCCTTCTGTTGGGAGTTTCTACTTTGGTACTTGGTTAGTTGACAAGCTTCCCTGTTTCCTCTCACTTTGCAAGAAGGAGGGAGTTAGCTCTTTGAAAAACTAACAACTAATTAGTGCCAGGAAGGGTCTAAGGGGGTCTGGCAGCGGAGGTGACAGAAAAAAAAAAAACAAGGGGAAAGGCTAGCAGAGGTCCCCCCCTAGGGAGTTACTGCACAGTGGGCTGGAGTTTGGGGTTCAATATGGTGGACAAATGTGGGTTCTTACAGGCAAGTGACCTCATCTCTCTGAGCTGTGAGGCATATAGATTCACGTGTGTACATGGTGGGAGTTCAACAAACACCTTCAAACAGCCCTGAAGGTTGCACAGGTGCATTCACATCTCTGATCTCATTTTAGGCCTCCCAGCAGCCTGAGGAGTACAGGGCAGGCTGGAGCGCTGTGTTCCCATTTCACGGCCAGGAAACTGGCTCCAAGCAAGGACGCACCTGCAGCTCAGGGCTCTGACCTTCCCCGCCGTGCGGCACCATTGTCATGGTCGTGGGGCTTCCCTGAGGCAGGCACCCTTTACCCGCCTCCCACCCCATCCTGATCCATGATGCTATCCCTGATAATTACCTGGGATTCATCGGAGACACCAAAGGGCAGTGCCAGACAGAGGCCGCCCTCTTCCCACCACCACCTCTATACATCCCTGGAGATGGGCGTGGGGTGAGGTTGAGAAGTGGCTTGATGCTGTACTGATTTTTTTATTTTTCCTTTCTTTTCTTTCTTTTTTTTTTTTTTGAGATGGAGTCTCGCTGTTGTTGCCCAGGCTGCAGTGCTGTCGTGTGATCTCGGCTCACCGCAACCTCCACCTCCCGGTTCAAGCGATTCTCCTGCCTCAGCCTCCCGAGTAGCTGGGATTACAGGCAGCTGCCACCGTGCCCAGCTAATTTTTGTATTTTTAGTAGAGACGGGGGTTTCACCATGTTGGCCAGGCTGGTCTCGAACTCCTGACCTCAGGTGATCTACCCGCCTCAGCCTCCCAAAGTGCTGGGATTACAGGCGTGAGCCACCACGCCCAGCCTGATTCTTTTTCCAGGTATGCAGACCACTGGCCTCTCGTTGAATCTGTTTTTTGTTGAGTTGTAACTTTGTTGAAATGCACAAATCTTAAGCGCTTCTGGTGCCTTGCTGAGCTCCACAGGCCCCCGGCTATTGAGCCAGGTCCCGTGCCAGGCTCCTCTCTCCAAAGCAGAGAAGTTATTTCCAGGCCAGGCCCCTGTGATTGGGTTTGGGGCCTGCATGGAGCAGTGGCACCGTGGACAGGAAACCCTGGGGGACGCTGAGGCTCCCAGGCCTCTGACTGTGACCACCACACATCTGCCTACAGCTTCCTCTTTCTCTTCCTCTTGACCACGGTACACCCAGGACCAAGCAGGAGAGCAGGTAACCAGTCATCGTGACCAGCTGGTGTGGACTGTGTATGGCCCGGGGACCGTGGGACATGCTGGGGCATGGGGTGCTGAAGCTGCCTCAGCCTCTGGGGGGTGCAGGAGGAGTGGGGAAGCTTCCCCAGAGATGGGCAGGAGGCCAGGGCATGGTCAGTCCCCAGGCAGCGTCAGGCTCTTGCAGCTGGTCTCACCCAGGCTCCTGGGGAAAGGAAGCGAGATCTTCCTAGTCCCAAACCTCTGTCCTTTCCTAATGCCCCTCCCCCTGCAAATCTCATTCAGACCCTGAGTACACAACTCAAAGTACACACAGCAAGAGTACCAAGAGGCAGTAAGTTCCCCCCAGAGGTCAGCCTACCCCCACTCTCCATCCTGTGCTCAGCAGCTGACAAGCTGTTCATCCCAATGAGGGGGCCACAGTCACGCCGCCCTGATCCCGCCTCTCAGCTCTGCGTGCCCAGCCTCTGGGCTGCCCTTGAGTGGCACCCATGGGGCCAAGGCCCTCCTTGCTTCAAGCTCAGGGGGAGGAAGGAACAGAGTGGATGGGGAACAGCCCAGGCTGCCCTGGCGGGAGGGTGGCTCTAGAGATTGGGCTGCTTTCAAAAGGGAAGTTCTGCTGAGAAACTACAGCCCATCCACTCCCCACATCTTTTCTGAGGACTGGGTGGTTCACAGGACTCAATGCTGCTGCTGCAGGTCTTCCCAGAAAGCACCCCTCATTGGCCTCTGAGCACGTGTGTCCACACCAGGAAGAGACTCCAGAGCTGATCAGAAGTTTTGTGGCTGCTGTGGGACCACTTCTCACCCTCACCCCTGGGAAATGGGCCTCAGCCCTGTGGCCTCATCTCCTCCTCCCCCTGAGTCATGTCACCTGATGGTTATCGGGACACAGCCGGAATGTGCAACTTCCGGCAAAAAACTCTCATGTTTTGTGGTTATTTTGCACCATTTTGTTTCTTCCTTTGGGTTTGTGGACAGGATGGGGTGAGCAGGATGGGCGTGGCAGGGTCTAAGTCCCCTGATCCCTTCTCCTTTGCAGTAAGTCAGGTGTTTCTCTATGTGCCTAAGGAGAATTGCATCCCATAGATTAAAGTGTAAAGCGCACTTCCTGTGGAATCCAATTTTCCTATTACCTTTCATCAAAAGTAGAGATATATTCCCTCAGAAAAAACTGACCTGAGGATGTTAAGGAACACTGACATTTCAGTATTTGTATAATCATAATAATATTTATTCCCACAGAGGAGCTGTCATTATTGACGTTTTACAGAAGCCACAGGCTTTGCTCAAGTTCATTCGGTGGTAAGTGGACAAGCCACGCCAGAACTTAGCCTTCTGCTTCTCTGTCTGGCCTGGACGTTCAAGATTGCAGCAGCGCCTTTTTGGTCATGGTTGAATCAAAAAATAATTTTTGAGAAACTTTGCAATGATCAGGCCACATAAGCCACCGAATATGACACATCTCCTGCATTTTTATGTTCAGCTCAACAGTGTCATGATCCAAAGTGTCTTGGATCTTTTTTTTTTTGAGACGGAGTCTTGCTCTTGTCACCCAGGCTGGGGTGCAATGGCACGATCTTGGCTCACCGCAACCTTTGCCTCTCGAGTTCAAGCGATTCTCCTGCCTCAGCCTCCCGAGTAGCTGGGATTGCAGGTGCCCGCCACATTTTTTTTATTTTTAGTAGAGACAGGGTTTTGCCACGTTGGCCCGGCTGGTCTCGAACTCCTGACCTCGTGATCCGCCTGCCTCGGCCTCCCAAAGTGCTGGGATTACAGGAGTGAGCCACCGCGCCCGGCCCGAAGTGTCTTGGATCTTAATGAGGTTTAGTTAATCTATGACTGCATCATCATGAAAATTTCCACAATGTCCACCAGGCTTTGTCATTGAATCTTCCAGCAGCAGAGCCCATAGGTCTCCTTGGCTTCCTGACACCTTCGTGGGCAAGGCGCCCCTGTGTTCAGAAGGAAGAGGAAAGTGACAAATTCCAAAAAGGGCCAGAGGGAAGGATATTCTTGGGATCCCATAGCTGGCACAGGGCTCCATGTGGGTGGACACTCTGAGCTTGGGGACTGCAAGCTCCCAGGTGACGCATTACACATTAGGAGTGGCATTTCCTGTGCCCACCTGGTCATTCTGTGCAAGCTGGGGCACCTACTCAAGGCACGTGTGTGAGACTGTGTGTGTGTGAGTGTATGTCACTGTGTGTGAATGTGTCAGTGTGTGAGTTTGTGTGTGAATGTGTGAGTGTATTTCAGTTGTATATGTAAGTGCGTTGTGTGAATTTGAGTGTTTCAATGTGTGAATGTGTATGTGTGTTTGTATCAGTGTGTGTGAATTTGTGTTTGTGTGTGAATGTGAGTTTGTGAATGTGTGTGGGTGAGAGTGCCTGTGTGTTTGTGTGTGTGTATATGTGTGTGTGCATGAACGTGTGTTTGTGAATGTGTGCGTATGTGTGTGTTTGTGAATGTGTGTGGGTGTGTGAATGTGTTTGTGTGAGTGTATGTGTGTGGGTGTGTGTGAATGTGTGTGTATGTGAGTGTGTTTGGGTGAGTGTGTGTGTATGTGAGAGTGTGAGTGTGTTTGTGTGTGTTTGTGTGTGGGTGTGTGAATGTTTGTGTGTGTGTGTGTATGTGCATGAACGTGTTTGTGAATGTGTGTATGTGTTTGTGTGTACGTGTGTGTATGTGTTTGTGAAAGTGTTTGTGAATGTGTGTGTGAGTGTGTATATGTGAGTGTATGTGCATGAACGTGTTTGTTTGTGAATGTGTTTGTGTGTATGTGTGAGTGTGAATGTGTGGGTGTGTGTGAATATGTGTGCATGTGAGTGTGTATGTGAGTGTGTGTTTGTGAATGTGTGTGGGTGTGTGAATGTGTGTTTGTGTGTATGCGAGTGTGTTTGTGAATGTGTGGGTGTGTTTGTGTGTTTGTGAATGTGTGTGGCTGAGTGTGTTTGTGTGTGTTTGTGAATGTGTGTGGGTGAGTGTTTGTGTGAGTGTGTATGTGAGTGTGTTTGTGAATGTGTGTGGGTGAGTGTGTTTGTGTGAGTGTGTATGTGAGTGTGTGTTTGTGAATGTGTGTGGGTGAGTGTGAGTGTGTGTATGTGAGTGTGTGTTTGTGAATGTGTGTGGGTGAGTGTGTGTGGGTGTGAGTGTGTATGTGAGTGTGAGCGTGTGTGTGTTTAGAGTCTGCACTCTGTGTGGATCAGGAAAGGGGTCCTTGCAGGCTCGCTGAGTCCCTGCTCTGTGCCCAGCCCCGAGTTGGCTCCAATGGGGCTATATAGAAAGGAAGGCATGGCCGGAGGACCTCTGTGTCAAGTTGAGGACACATTTCCAAGACTAGGAACCATTCAGGGACTCTGGAGTCACGATGACAACTCCCCTTCCCTCAGCCCCGAAGCCCAGGCCTGGACCTCCAAGGGACTCAGGGAAGGGACTCAGGAAAGGGGAGTTCCCCCTGGCAGCCTCCTCGTGGGCACCACCGAGGGTGAGAGGAGCCAGCTCAGCGGGTCCCACCCCCAGGGTTGCCCACCTTGACCACAAGGAAAGGAGGGAGGAGTTATTGGGCCTTCCACTAGGAGGAGACCCGGGGAAGTGAGAGTCGGGGATCAGTCCTGCAAGCTACGGAGTCACTACAGGGAGAGGTCTCATCACTAGAAATAGCCGAAGAACCTGCAGCCTCAACCAGCGTTAAGGAGGACGTGCCGTTTCTAGGGAGTCTTAGTCGGGGCTCACCAGCTTCCTGCATTTTCTGACCGGCTCCAGGAATAGAACCAAAAGAAGCTGAACAAGGAAGCAGCGCGGCACCAAGAAAAGCAGAAGTCGGGGCCTTGGAGGCGTGACTTTCCCCTCGGGTCCAGGTAGGGCCTGGAGCTGCTGCAAGTGCCGCCTGTGCTGGGGAAGGGACCATGTGGCTGCCTTGGGCTCTGTTGCTTCTCTGGGTCCCAGGTGAGAGTTTCCCTTCCCGGGAAAGTCTGCGGCAGGGAGGGAGGGTGCGAGGGGCAGGGCCGCAGGGCAGGTATCACACGAGACGCCCCGAGTCTGGACTCCGTGCAGAACGCAGAATGCGGTGCGCTCTGTCTACCACATAAGATGGACAGATGAAGGTCCACACCCCTGGGAGAGGAAGGAGCCAGGGCCTCTCCCGGCTCTGCACCCACGTACCTTGGCTGAACCACAGCGGGGCAAGTGATAAGGGGTGGGTGCAGAAAAGGGACCTTTTAGGTTTTCAGTTGAATTCTTACAGGAAGGGGGACGAGAGGCAGGATGTGTCAGGGTGGGTGGAGAGTGGCAGCCACTGACTGCGAGGGGCATGTGGTGAGGGTGGGGGAGATGCCGGGCTCACTGGGTGCAGGGTATGGAGGAGGGGGGTGTGGGGAGGGTGGGGGAGATGCCGGCCTCACTAGGTGCAGGGTACGGAGGAGGGGGTGGGGCGGTGAGGGAGATAGGGTCGGGGTGGGGAGCAGATCGATAGTCTCTGGAATGCGGAGATTTAACCAGGGCAGCCCAGCGGCTGGGGCCTGAGCAGGGGGAAGTCCCGAGGCAGCCTTGGCTGGGGTTAGCCCCTGCATGGGCCTGAGAACCAGGGGTCAGTCCTCTCCAAGAAGGGGATATGGGACAGAGGGGACAGAAAAGGTGGTGGGGAGGGCGAGGAGGGAAAAGATCGGGCAGAGAAGCGCTGAGATCTTCTTTAGGGAGAAGCGTGGAGTTGAGTCTTCCCTGTCCAAGCGCAGGGATTCCTCCCGCAGAGTCACCTGCTGTGCCTTCAGTCACGTCCACCGCTCTCCTCAGACAGCTCCTGTGCAGACTCCTCAGGCCTAGTCCTAGGGTATTGTACGTCTTTGTGGTTGCTTTCCTTACAGATCGGAGGTTTTCTGCAATTATATTTGCTAACTACTTGTCTGTGGGAAGGTTATTACTTTTGGTGTCTTGACTTGGAAACGGGTCATCCTCCCATAACAGGTGCTCCTGCGATTCTCTTGGGTGTTCTTCTGTTTCATAGGGTCGGTGTGCATGGGAAGGTTTCAGTTCCTGTCTAATATCTGTTTCTCTTTCTCCCATTGACTCATTGGCTGGTACAGCCGGAGTGAGGCCCAGCGGACATAGTGGTAGTGGTTGTCCCTGCCTTGTTGCTGACTCAGGGAAAAAGGACCAGAGCTTCTCATTATTAGGAAGAAGGGATCCACCAATGACTATTCACAAAGCATTTTTACTTTTATTTATTTATTTATTTATTTATTTATTTATTTATTTTTTGAGATGGAGTTTTGCTCTTGTTGCCCAGGCTGGAGTGCAGTGGCGCGATCTTGGCTCACTGCAACCTACGCCTCCCAGGTTCAAGTGATTCTCCTGCCTCAGCCTCCCGAGTAGCTGAGATTACAGGCATGTACCACCATGCCTGGTTAATTTTGTATTTTTAGTAGAGATGGGCTTTCTCCATGTTGGTCAGGCTGGTCTCAAACTCCCAACCTCAGGTGATCCACTCACCTTGGCCTCCCAAAGTGCTGGGATTGCAGGCGTGAGCCACCAAGCCTGGCCAACATTTTTATTTTTTTGAGACAGGGTCTCCCTCCGTCACCCAAACTGGAGTGCGGTGGTGCAATCACGGTTCACTGTAGCCTCCACCTCCCGGGCTCAAGTGATCCTCCCACCTCAACCTCCCCAGTAGCTGAGACTACAGGTGTGTGCCACCACACCCAGCTGGATTCTTAATTTTTTTTAGGGACAGGGTCTTACCATGTTGCCCAGGCTGGCCTCCACCTCCTGGGATCAAGGGATCCTCCCATCTTGTCCTCCCAAAATGCAGGGATTACAGGCATGAACCACCACACCTGGCCCCTACAAAACATTTTTTATTTTATTTTTATTTATTTTTTTGGAGACAGAATCTCACTCTATCACCCAGGGCTGGAGTGCAGTGGCTTGATCTCAGCTCACTGCAACCTCCGCCTCCCGGGTTCAAGTGATTCTCCTGCCTCAGCCTCTTGAATAACTGGGCTTACAGGCACCCACCACCACTGCTGGCTAATTTTTTTGTATTTTAGTAGAGACGGGGTTTCACCATGTTGCCCAAGGTGGTCTCGAACTCCTGAGCTCAGGCAATCTGCCAGCCTTGGCCTCCGGCCCCCACAAAATACCATTTTTATTATTTATAGAAATTATTATTATTATTATCCTTTCAGCTATGAAGGAGGTGAACTACATTAGGAGATCTGGTCAGATGTTTGTCTTGATTTATTATGCTGGCTTCATGGAAAGAATTAGGGAGATCTCCCTGTTTCCGTGTTCTCTGCAAATGTTTACATAAAATTGAAATTATTTGTTCCTTGAAGTTTTTAGAGAACTAGCTTGTAAAACTGTCTGAGTTTTGCTTCTTTTTTTTTGATGGAAGGGAAAGAATTTCTTAATAACACTCATCATTTTTGGTCTACATTAAAAAAAATCTAGCTGGGTGCAGTGGCTCACACCTGTAATCCCAGAATTTTAGGAGGTTGAGGTGGGAGGATAGCTTAAGCCCAGGAGTCCGAGACTGGCCTGGGCAGTATAGCAAGCAAGACCCCGTCTCTTAAAAAAAAAAAAAGTCTATTCTTGGCCTACATTGATGATTTATATTTTCCTAAAAAATCATCAGTGTCGCCCAGGTTTGCAGACTTATTTGCAGAGATTTGCAAATTTTTCTTTTGAATTTTATATCTGCGTCTTCTTTATTTTTGGTCTGACTACCTACTAGTCTAATTAATTGTTTGAGGCCAGGCACGTTGGCTCACGCCTGTAATCCCAGCACTTTGGGAGGCCAAGGCGGGTGGATCACTTGAGGTCAGGAGTTTGAGACCAGCCTGGCCAACATGGTGAAACCCCGTGTCTCCTAAAAACACAAAATTAGCCAGGCATGGTAGTGTGCACCCTGTAGTCCCAGCCACTCGGGAGGCTGAGACATGAGAGTCACTTGAACCCAGGAGGCGGAGGTTGCAGTGAGCCGAGATCATGCCACTGAGCTCTGGCCTGGGCGACAAGAGCGAAACTCTGTCTCAAAAAAATGAAATAAAATAATTAATCATTTACCCCTTACAAAAAAATCCATTTATTAATGTATATACTAACTCCACTGTTTTTCTGTTTCTTAATTCACTGATTTCTGTGAATTCACCAGTTCGTGAAAGATGACCTGGTTCTTTCTGTGTTGTGTGTGGGTGTGTGTGTTCCTCTTCTGACCTCTTGAGTTGGACAATTCAGTCATTTACCTGAGAGTTAATGGGTCAAGATTCTGTGATCTTCAAGGAAAACGTTAAGACGACAGAGGAATATCCTGGTAGAGGACCCTGGCCCCAAGGTGGTCCCCAGTCTCCTGTTTATGATTAGAGGGGTTTGGGGTGGTGATTCAGGTTGGAAGAGAGAAAGCGCAGAAACACAAGCCTGGGAGCACTGGGGATCCATGTGATCGTTCCAGGTAAGTGGGGAAGTAAATGGAGGGTTTTCTGACACTTCGCAATCTCTAAATTATAATGACACCCTCACAGGTGGAACAGAGCTTTGGGGAGATGATTGGGTGACAGTTTTTTATCCAAGATTTCAGAGAAGAGAAGTTAATCAGGAGAGAGAGAAAGAGAGAGAGCTAGAGGGAGAGAGAGAGAGGGAGAAAGAAACTAAATCCGAAGGGAAGTCAGACACTGGAGGTAGGACGAGAGACAGGATTGGGTGCAGTGGGCAGAGGTGGTGGGGTCACTGAGGTCAGGAGAGAAGCCAAAACATGGACAAAGAAAGATGACGATTCGCAGCCCAGGAGAGGCAGGGAATCGGGTCAGGACAGGGAGCAGGAACAGTGTCTTGGGTGAAGGAGGGCTGGGAACTGACAGTTTTTATTTATTTTTTTTGAGATAGAGTCTCACTCTGTCGCCCAGGCTGGAGTGCAGTGGTGTGATCACAGCTCACTGCAACCTCCACCTCCTGGACTCAAGTGATCCTCCCGCCTCAGCCTCCTGAGTAGCTGGGAATACAGGCACGTGCCACCATGCCTGGCTAATTTTTTGTGTTTTTGGTAGAGATGGGGGTCTCACCACATTGCCCAGGCTGGCCTCAAATGCCTAAGGCTCAAGCAATCCTCCCACTTTGGCCTCCCAAAGTGCTAGGATTACAGGCATGAGCCACTGCACCTGGCCTATTTATTTATTTGAGTCAGGGTCTCACTCTGTCACCCAGGCTGAAGTGCAGTGATGCGATCATAGCTCACTGCAGCCACAACCTCCTGGGCTAAAATGATCCTCCCACCTCAGCCTCCTGAGTAGCTGGGACCACACGTGTGCACCAGCACACCTGGCTAATTTTTGTATTTTTTTGTAGAGATGGAATCTCACTATGTTGCCCAGGCTCCATTTACTTATTAAGTACTTAATATGTGTCAATTTTAGTGATTTGTGTTTTTCTAGAAAATAACTTTCATCTAAGTTTATGAATTTTATGTAGAGAATTTCTGCAAAATATCTTGACTCTTCATTCTTTCTTCATCTATGGTCCTTTTCTCTTGTCATGTCTTATTTAGTCAGCCCAGAGGTTATCTATTTTTATTAGCTGGAGTCATGTGAAACCCTGTTGTCTTGGTCAAAAAGTTTAATATCAGCCATTTCATGTGATTCAACCTAATGTTATTTACCAGGCATTTTATACCTGTGATCTCATTTAACACCCTCAAAGGCCATATGAGTCAGGGACAATTGTCACCACTCTATAGACAAGGTGTCTGAAGCTCAGAGAGGTTAACTAACTTGCCCCAGAACACACAGCTGATACGTAATAGGGTAGAGATGTAAACGCAGATGGTTCTGAGGATCTTTCTGCTTTGTCCTGGCAATTGCTGCTGAGAGCCTCAGGAAGCATCACACCTGTGACAAGCTTAGAAAGGCCTTCTCTGCAGGGGGATGTGTACATCCAGGCGTGGAGAGGTTTGGGTGGGACTCTGGGAGAGGCACAGAGGAGCTTATCTTTGGGCAGCCGTGGGCTGGGTGTGGAGCTAGTGGGGTCCAGGAGAAGCTTGCACTGAAGTTTTTGTAGAGGGCCTACAGGTGCAAGGCACCTGTAGACGTTGAAGGTATAAGAAGGAGACCCCTACCAAAGTCTCATGTGTGAGGAGATTTAGCATCTGAAACAGTAAGTAAAATTAAAGAGTTCTGGCCAGGCGCAGTAGCTCATGCCTGTAATCCCAGCACTTTGGGAGGCCGAGGCAGGTGGATCACCTGAGGTCAGGAGTTCGAGACCAGCCAGGCCAACATGGTGAAACCCTGTCTCTACTAAAAACACAAAAATTATCCGGGTGTGGTGGACGCCTGTAATCCTAGCTACTCGGTAGGCTGAGGCAGGAGAATCGCTTGAACCCGGGAGGCAGAGGTTGCAATGAGCCGAGATCCCGCCACTGCACTCCAGCCTGGGCAACAGAGCAAGACTCCATCTCAAAAAAAAAAAAAAATCAAAGAGTTCTAACCCAAGGAAAGAAGAGCAAGCCCCCATCCCCACCATCCTTGAACAATATGGGGCCTAATCACAGAATTACAAGGGCATTGAGACACTGCACACACAACTGCCCAGCAGGCCTGTGCCCATCTGCCTGGGGCAGGGGCCATGTGTCCTCTGCTTGGCAGCCAACACTAGCTTCGAGCCATCACCTTACTCTCCTTGCTTTGCATCTGATAATTATTTGGGAAAATGTCAGACATAATTTTCAAGGAAGTTCATTTATTTCCGAGATTTAAGTCTAGGAGAGCTGGGCAAACTAAGGTAAGACACAGGATGAAAGTTTTCGTCAGCAAGCCTTCTGCGTTTGTGACTCTTTTTTTTTTTTTTTGAGACAGAGTCTCACCCTGTCACTCAGGCTGGAGTGCAGTGGTGCCATCTCAGCTCAACATAACCTCCGCCTCCAGGGTTGAAGCGATTCTTGTGCCTCAGCCTCCCCAGTAGCTGCAATTACAGGCGCATGCCACCACGCCCAGCTAATTTTTGTATTTTTAGTAGAGACAGGGTTTCACCATGTCGGCCAGGCTAGTCTCGAACTCCTGGCCTCAAGTGATCCACCCACCTTAGCCTCCCAAAGTGCTGGGATTACAGGCATAACCCACTGTACCCAGCCAGTATTCTTGTCAAAATGGCTTGACAACCCTATTACTGCCCGGGTTTGCCCCTTGGTGGGACCAGATCAGTGTGTGGGCCGGTCTTCCTCTTGCAGGGTTGCCCAGGGCTGGGGTGGCCCTCCCGGGAGTGCAGGTGCTTAGGGGTGAGTTCTCATGCTCCTGGCAGGTTTGGAAGCAGGAGGCCCCTGGTGGGTGAGAGGGGTGGGAAGGGTAAGGGAAAGGAGGCAGGGGGCTGGAGAAAGGGGCTACTATGAGCAAAATCTTGAGGGTGGTAGAGCAGAAAAGAGAATACTCAAGCTGTGATCTGGCTGATGGGGCTGATATGAGGTGAAGGAGTCAGGGGCTGAGGGCTGGGGGTGCTGATGTGGAGTCGGGGAATCTTTGGAGGAGGTGACTCCAGGGCACCCAGCCTGAGCTCTTCCGGTCTCCATGGAAAGCCTCTGCCCCATTCCCACCTGTGTGCGGAGGTAGCCTCTCATCCTCAGTCCCCGCTCCTGGGTGGACAAGGCCTCTCTGCCTGCCGCTGCCTCCTCCACACCCCCAGGGTCCATGCGGCCCTGACCCCAGGGCACCCCTGACCAGGCTCATCTGAGGAGGAGCTGGGACTCTGGCTTGTGTTTTCCAGGATGTTTTGCTCTGAGCAAATGCAGGACCGTGGCGGGCCCCGTGGGGGGATCCCTGAGTGTGCAGTGTCCCTATGAGAAGGAACACAGGACCCTCAACAAATACTGGTGCAGACCACCACAGATTTTCCTATGTGACAAGATTGTGGAGACCAAAGGGTCAGCAGGAAAAAGGAACGGCCGAGTGTCCATCAGGGACAGTCCTGCAAACCTCAGCTTCACAGTGACCCTGGAGAATCTCACAGAGGAGGATGCAGGCACCTACTGGTGTGGGGTGGATACACCATGGCTCCGAGACTTTCATGATCCCGTTGTCGAGGTTGAGGTGTCCGTGTTCCCGGGTGAGCCCCTCCTTCCCTCAGCGCCTAAATAGGCTCAGGTTGGAATTGTTGGGGCAGGAATCAGATCAGAGACGTGAAGCAGACAGTGTGTGTGTGTGTGTGCGTAAGAGAGAGAGAGGTGGGGGCCAGGGGAACACAGTCAGGGGGTCTCTCCTGGAGCAGCTGACATGTCTGCCCAGTATTGAAGAAGGGAAGGGTCCAGTGACAGGGAGGCTGAGAGAGCGTTGCCTGTGAAGGAGCCAGGAGCGCACCTGTGGCTCAGCCCCAACGGAAGTGCAGCTGAGTGGGGGAGGGGTGGGGCTGAACAGAGAGGCTGGGGGGCCAGATGGGAAGCTGCTGTCCTCAGGGGGAGCCTTACCACATGACAGGTCAGATTTGCAGTGTAGACAGACTCCTCTGCAGCATGGAGTTTCGCAGGAGCACCTGGACCCTCATCAGCAGGATGGAAAATCAGGACCACTGGGAGTGGCACCCGTGTCCTGTTCAGAAATGCCCAGTTGGCCCAGGAGGGTCCTGGAGAGACTCTAGCCCCAGGGTCCTGCATCCTGCCCCCTTCCTTAGTGGGCAGTTTGTGTGAAATCAAACCAAAAAGGCATCCTGAGTGGTGGGAGAGCCAGAGGACAGCTCCCTGGGTCTGACTTGTGGTTTTGCCACCAGCATCAACGTCAATGACACCTGCAAGTATCACTGCGGCCAAGACCTCAACAATCACAACTGCATTTCCACCTGTATCATCCACTACCCTGTTTGCAGTGGGTGCCACCCACAGTGCCAGCATCCAGGAGGAAACTGAGGAGGTGGTGAACTCACAGTAAGCACCCTAGCCCCTGAGACATGGAGGGGGCCCTGTGCTAAGAGGAGGAGCCCAGGGCGGGGACCTTGGCCATGTGGGCCAGCTGGAGGTGTGCATCGCTCCCTTTGCCCCAGGCCCAGGTTGGAAGCCATAGTCTGAACACCCCGGCTTGGACCTGCCCTTGGCTTTGGAAGGGGGCTCAGGTAGGGGGGAAGTTGGGGGGCAGATGGAAGGAAAGTGATAGTTACTGACAGCTGGTAACATCCTACGAGGCCCGTGTTAGATGCTTCACATGAGTATTCTCACTTGCCTTTCACTGCAGCCCTGTACTGTTGTCATTCCGTGTATTAGTCTGTTTTCGCACCGTTGATAAAGACATACCCGAGACTGGATAAATTATAATGAGAAAGAGGTTTTAATGTACTCACAGTTCCACATGGCTGAGGAGGCCTCACAATCAAGGCAGAAGGCAAAAGGCATGTCTTACATGGCAGCAGGCAAGACAGAGAATGAGAACCAAGCAAAAGGGGTTTCCTCTTATAAAGCCATCAGACCTCGTGAGACTTATTCACTACCACAAGAACAGTATGGAGCAAACCACCCCCATGATTCAGTTATCTCCCACTGGGTCCCTCCCACAACACGTGGGAATTATATGGGAGCTACAATTCAAGATGAGATTTGGGTGGGGACCCAGCCAACCCACATCAATCCCCATTTTACAGATGAGTAAACTGAGACTCAGCGAGGTGAAGCAATTTGCCCAGTCAAGTAGCTACAAGAGGCTAAGGCTAAGCTTCCAATTCTGGTTTATGTGACTCCAGAGCCTTGAGTTCTCCTCTCTAAATAGTGGTTCTTAACCTTTTTCGGGTTCACCAACCCCACATAGAATCTGACATCTATGGACACTCTCCCCAGAAAAACACATGCAGTCACAAACCTTTTCTGGGATTCACGGACTCCCTATTCTAGCACAAAACCCCACAATTCCATCCTGGCACTATCCACCCAGAGTTAGTGCAGACCCCACAGGTGAAGAGCTTCCACATCTAAATCAGATCCCACAAGACCGCCCTGATTTAGATGCCAGTCGAACTTTGGGGATCCCCAGGCCACCACACTTCTGACCAACTGGATGCAAATTTGGGGGTTCCCAGGACCCCCCCAGGTTCAATAATTTGTTAGACTCAGAACTCTGGAAAGCATTATACTTACAATTACAGTTTTATCATAAGGATAAAGGATAAAGATTAGGACCAGCCAATGCAGAGACACATAGGACAAGGCTTGGGAGGATTCCCAAACAGTTTCTGTGCCCTCTCCAGGTGGAATCAGGGAGCATCACCTGCACCCTCCCTGCGGCACCTCAATATATTTATCAACCAGGAAGCTCCTCCAAGCTTTGGTGTCCAGAGTTTTTATTGGGGTTTCATTACATAGGCATGATGTGATTGAACTGTCTCCACCTCCAGTCCCTCTTTGGGAGGTTGGGCTGGCTCAGGGCTCCAAATCTCTAATTACGTAGTTGGTCTTTCTGGTGACCAGCCCCATCCTATTGTCTCATCTCTTACCAAAGTCCAGGTGTGATTCATGAACAACAAAGACACTCCTAATTTTTGGGACATTCCAAGGATTTAGAGCCTCCCTCCTAAGAGCTAGGGACAAAGGCCAGCCAGATTCTTTACTGGACAACATCCATAAACCCCTCCACAGGCTTCTGCCAACATATAAGACAAGGCAAAATTCAGGCTTGAACATGCCACTTCCAGAAGTTTAGCCTGTAGATACACATAGGTGGCAGCGCTGAGTTCTGTGGGGCCTGAAGGTTGTGCAGTTTGCGGGGTGGGTTGGTGGGTGGGTAATCTAAGAAAAAGATGAGAAAATTATGAATGCAAACGTAGGCATGAAGGAAAGGGCCCAAGCAATGGAGGGACCTGAAGCTGGGCTGCATCAGCCTCCTGGTCAATCTGCTGCTGCGTGGTCAGGTGTGAAAAGGTGGAGCTGCAAGGCGATTTATAAGCAACGTTTACCATTGCAAAGGACTGGGGAAATGCCCATTCAGTGGGAACATTTAAATAAATCACAGTCTATCCATGTGTTGGAATACCCTGCAGCTATAGGAAAGAGTGAGGGACTTCTTTATGTACTGACGTGGAAAGACCTCTAAGATGTATTGCTAAGTAAAACCAGAATAGTGTTAGACGAGGCCTCCTTTGTGTGAAAGAGAAAGGAGATCCCGTACATTCGTATTTGCTTGTATACACATAAAGAAACTCTGGAAGGTTCTTAAGAACAGCACGTGTGTGTATGTGGGGAAATTGGGGAATGTGTAAATGGGGGGTGTGTAGAAAGGGGGCTTTATACTGTCTATTTTTTTTAATTGACCTTATCTATCTACTTAAAAAGTTAGAGAAGGAGACCAGGTATATTGGCTCATGCCTGTCATCCCAGCATTTTGGGAGGCTGAGGCAGGAGGGTGGCTTGAGCTCAGGAGTCTGAGACCATCCTGGGCAATATAGCAAGATTGAGTCTCTACGAAAAATTTAAAAATTAGCCGTGGTGGCCTGTGCCTGTAGCTGGAGGCTGAGGCAGGAGGATCACTTGAGCCCAGGGGTTCAAGGCTGCAGTGAGCCATGATCACCACTGCACTCCAGCCTGGGTAACAGAGCCAGATCCTGTCTCAAAAAATAAAAATAAAAAATAAAAATAAAAAAGTAAGTTGGAGAAGGCAAGTTGGCCCCGCCCTTACCATCCTGTGCCTCCTCCAGGCTCCCGCTGCTCCTCTCCCTGCTGGCATTGTTGCTGCTTCTGTTGGTGGGGGCCTCCCTGCTAGCCTGGAGGATGTTTCAGAAATGGATCAAAGGTGAGTTGGCTCCCCACACCCCTCTGCCCCACCTGGGGTGGTCAGACCCTGACCACAGACGCTCATCTTCAAAGCTATGTCCACGTCCCACAGTATTGCTATGACATGTGACACCCAGACCACACATCCTAGGTGATCCTACAGGGCAGGTCCCATGGGAGGCATCCTTGTGCGTGGTGGTTACAGGCTGTGAGAGGTGGCTCCCAAGCAGGAGGCTTTCCCACTTCCAGGCCAAGGGTGGTTGCCCCATGAAGCAATGACCCTCTTCTGTTTAAAACCCTGGCATGGTGTGCTGGGTGCAGTGGTGTGCATCTGTAGTTCCAGCTACTCAGGAGGCTGAGATGGGAGGATTGCTTGATCCCAGGAATTCAAGACCAGCCTGCGCAACACAACAAGGCTCCCGTGTCTATAAGATAAAATAAACCCTTGCATGGTCTCCCCCACCATAAAAAGTCCAGGTATCTACAGGAGTCACTGCCCTCCACGATCTGGCTCTACCCACCTCCCTCTCCCCATCCGCGCACCCTGGAAACCAACTTCTTGTATCTCCTTTAATGACAGCCTCAACCTCAGCCTCTCCTCTCCTTCTGGGTTTGCTCTGGGCTGGAGGGCCTCCCCTGCCCCCTCTCCCCAGCTCACTCCCAGTGGACTCCAACAGTGGTCCTCAGACTTTCTTTTCTCTGGGACCTTTTCTTTGACTCCAAAGAGTGGCTTGGGGCCCCTCCTGGCTATACCTCTGCTGTCACAGCCTTTTGGGAACCAGACTGTCATTGCTGGTGTCCTCATCTGCCTTCCCACAGGCATGTGCTTCAAGGAGGTACAGAACCAATATTTGTCAAATTAATGTGTTATTCAGTATCTCCAGCTGCAACGGGCACCCCAGGGGCCTCCAGGCAATCTCTAGTCCAGCTGCCCTCCTCTGAGCTCAGATTAAAAGAGAGAACAGGAACTCTTGGCACTCAGTAAGTAGATGCTCAATAAATAGCTGATAGGCAAATTGAATAAGCACAGGAACAGAGGAACAAGTGGAGGTGTGGCCACCAGTCCTCTAGATTGCAGATCCCTGGCCGAGGTCAAGTGTAAGCCTGAAGCTTCCTCCCTGTTCGGAGAGTTGAAGATTCCACAGGCAGAAGATTCTCAGGGGAATCTTTGTCCAAAGCCTTCCAAGACTGCAGTGAGACTGGGGTGGGAAGAGATGGGGTTATCCTGTCCCATAGCTGCAGGATAAGCTGCTGCATGCTTGGTGGGGGGCACTGCTCACACATATCCCCAGTGCCTCCTGTGGCGCCCAGGCTTTTGGCGGAGAAATCAGCCTCAGTAGATCTGTGCAGGGTGTATGGGAAGAAAACCACTTCCTCTTTCCCATCTGCTTTGTGTGTGTCATTTTCTGGTAATCCCATCCTAAACTTCAGCACCCACGTGGATGCCACTGGGTTGTCTCAGTTCTGAGCCCCTTTCGGTTTCCTTTGTGCCCTTTCACCCAGAAAGTCTCTGGCTCCTCAAAGAGCCTCCTCCCCCCTTGAAAAGGATGTATGTGATTATTGTAGGAAGTTTGAAAAATGAGCAAAAGCACAAAGAAGGAAATAAATCCCCCATCATCGATGATAACTAAAAACCCCACCACCTAGAGAAAACCAGCCACTGGCCCCTGAGGTATATCCTTCCAGTCTTTTTTTCTATGCCTATGTAAATGCATCTATGATTTCTTTTTTTTTCTCTTTTTTGAGACAGAGTCTCACTCTGTCACCCAGGCTGGCGTGCAGTGGCATGATCTTGGCTCACTCCAGCCTCGACCCCCCACTGCCCGGGGCTCCAGTGATCCTCCTGCCTTAGCCTCCCAAATAGCTGGGACTACAGGTGCTCACCACCACGTCTGGCTAATGGTTAAATTTTTTTTTTTAAGAGATGGGGTTTCACTATGTTGCCCAGCCTGGTCTTGAACTCCTGAGCTCAAGCCCAGAGTGCTGGGATTACAGATGTGAGCCACCACACCCAGTCATGCATCTGCGATGTCTTAACAAATTGGCCTCATACCACTCATTCTCTTTTAAACCTACATTTTTGCACTTAACATATGGTACCATGTTCCCAGCTAGTAAATGTTCTAAAAATCACAGACGCAGAGTTTACTGGTGTCTTAAGCTTCCTGTAACCCATCCTCAGTAACAAGATAAAGGCTTTCTATTCAAACATTTTTGACTCTCTGTCCCCTGCTTTGCAAGTCCGTGCCCCATCCCCTGACTGTGTGGCTGGGGCTGACTTCCCCTTGCCCTGCCTGGAGCCTGACACCTGCCTCATCACACCTACTCCCCACTCTTTCCCCCAGCCCACATTTGTCGTTCATTCATTCGTACAACAAAGCTGTCCTGAGCACCTACTGTGTGCCAGGCCTGTGCTGGGCCCTGGGGACAACATTGTGACTGGGGTAGACTGGGTCTTACCTTCAGTGAGCTTCCCCTACCGCTGGCTCCCCCAAACCTTCTCACTACCACCCTCCTTCCCGGGCGTTGAACTCCTGTCTCTTCCCCACCAGCTCTTTTTCTCCTTCCCATCAGAACACTTGTCCCAGGTGGGGACAGGGAGGGCAGTGTGGTGCCTGCGCACAGCACTTGGAAGCAGGGCACTTCGCACCCCAGAGTACCCGGCTGCGCACTCCATTAGGTCAGCTGTGGCTCAGCAAGCCCGTCACTATACGTGGTCTTGTGTCTCCCAACCGTGGGCTCCTCCCCTTTAATTCTGGGGGAGGAGCCCACAGATCCCCACAGCATCCAGTGCAGTGGGCTCTGGGGTTGCCTGGCTGTGGACCTAACCAAGGGCATCAGCAGCGTGTGTGTCACCCGCTGCCCACGTGGTCCGGGCTCCTGGGGTGAAAGGGTTAGGGTGTACAGGGCTGTGCTCATAGGCAGCACCCTTATAGAGCAGGTGCCAGCAGCCAAGGGCTGTGTGAGCCTGAGCTGGCGTCCCTGGGGCTGACAGGCCTCCTTCCCTACGGCCTGGGGCAGCAGGCAGGTGGGCTGTCTGGGAGGGCAGACCTCAGGCACGGGGATGGGAGCAGAGGCCCCAGCAACTTCCCACAGTCTGATGCAGCCCTAAGCCCCAGATGCACAGGGCTTTTCAGTGGCATCCTTCCTCCCCTGGAAACATTTGTGTGAGATCCCGTGTTGAGAGCTTGTTTTGGTCCCTCTCCTCCAGCTGGGAGCTTTCTTTCCTTTCTTTCTTTCTTTTTTTCGTTTTTGAGACAGAGTCTTGCTCTGTTGCCCAGGCTGGAGTGCAGTGGCATGATCTCAGCTCACTGCAACCTCCGTCTCCCAGGTTCAAGCGATTCTCCTGTCTCAGCCTCCCAAGTAGCTGGGACTACAGGGCGTGTGCCACCATGCCCAGCTAATATTTGTATTTTTAGTAGAGACAGGGTTTCACCCTATTGGCCCGGCTGGTCTCGAACTCCTGACCTCAAGTGATCTGCCCTCCTCGGCTTCCCAAAGCACTGGGATTACAGGCGTGAGCCACCGCACCCGGCCCAGCTGGAATCTTTCTATTTCTCCATTTATTCACTCATCCTGTGCTCGTTCATTCATTTACTAAGTCACTAATTCACTCACTCAACAAACCCTTGAGTTCCTACCATGCTTCAGGCCTGAAGGGATAGGTCCCCAGGGCTGAGGTCTCTAGGGAAAGGCCTTTTCCCAGAAGGCTTGTAAGGTCCTCCATCCTGGCCATTGTTCCGGGATTCAACCTCCTTCCTCTCCTCTTGTCTCTAGCTGGTGACCATTCAGAGCTGTCCCAGAACCCCAAGCAGGTAAGGGGGCTTTAGCAGGAGGTGTATCAGGTGGCTGGGCGGAGGGTACAGAGGCTGCTGGGGAGTTGGACAGTCCCATCGGCCAACGGAGGTTGGATGGAGCGGGGAGCTCACCCAGAGCAGGACGAATGATGCTGGGAGATGTGGTCACTAGGTCTTGTTCTGAGTCCTGGCCAGCCTGTCCCCTCCCCACCAAGGCAAATGGAATGAAGGGAGGCCCTCCCAGCCAAGCTGACCTGGGGAACATTAAACTACTGGACGGAGTGGGGTGGAGGCAGGAAGGGGAAGGTGGGGGCTGAGGTGCTCAGAGCATAGAGGAAGGGGAGACACATGCAGAGACGCAGGGACAGAGGCTGCAGGGCTCCGTGGACACCCACCTGGGACCTCCTGCCCACCCAGGCTGCCACGCAGAGTGAGCTGCACTACGCAAATCTGGAGCTGCTGATGTGGCCTCTGCAGGAAAAGCCAGCACCACCAAGGGAGGTGGAGGTGGAATACAGCACTGTGGTAAGTGCAGGAGCCCGGCTTTTGGGCATGCGGCCCCTGGGCTGTGCCAGGGCACCCCTGGGAGGGTGGGCAGAAGGGGAAGGAAGGGGTCGGCTTGGTGATCTTGTGCCTGTCAGGGACAGGGCCACATGGAGATGGAGCAAGTGTAGATTTTGCCAGAGCAGAGGTCCTTAGGAGGGCTTGGTGTCATTGTGGTGGGGGGTTTTTGGGGGTGGCCAGCAGCTATGGCTCTGACAGTCCGTGAAGTCCAGCATGGGTTAAGCACCTGCTGTGTATCGTGAGCCAAGCTGAGAACCTGTGACTTCTCACTGTTTTGGTCTCATCATCTCTTTGACATCAATTCTGCTTTCGGGTTTTTGTCTGTGACCCGCTGTGGGTCAACCCTTGGGCGCAGCCACCTTCAACTGGGATGATGGGATGGGGGCTGCCTCCCTGGGTCGTGACCCACCTGCTAGTGGGAGAGTTCAAGCAGAAGCTGGGGGTCACTTGGCAGAGAGGATCGGGAGGGATGTAAGCATCAGCAGGGAAGCTTAAAGTGCCCCCAGGCCTGGGAGCTGAAGAGGCCCCTCAGACAAGTCGTGTGGTGCCATGGAGGGCTGGCACCAGGGTGACAGGGGACATTGTTGCTGGTCTGCCTGGAAAAGTGGCCCAACTCCCTGGGATATCTCCAGCCTGGTACCGTTCTCCCCAGGCCGCCGTTTTGCACCTGACAGGAGAAGAGGGGATCCAGACCTGCCACTTCCGGGTCCCCTGATAGCCGCACCGTTCCCCAACCTCCCGCCAGCTGTCTGCATGAGGATGAGGGTGGTCTGGGGGCCCAGGGTCCTGGATGGCTCCTGGCCAAGTTCCTTCCTTCCTTCCTTCCTTTCTTTCTTTCTTTCTTTCTTTCTTTCTTTCTTTGGAATCTCGCTCTATCCCCCAGGCTGGAATGCAGTGGCACAGTCTTGGCTCACTGCAATCTCTGCCTCCCAGGTTCAAGCAATTCTCCTGCCTCAGCCTCCAGAGTAGCTGGGACTACAGACACCTGCCACTACACTGGCTGATTTTTGTATTTTTAGTAGAGACGGGGCTTCACCATGTTGGCCAGGCTGGTCTCGGACTCCTGACCTCAAGTGATCCGCCTGCCCTGACTTCCCAAAGTGCTGGGATTACAGTACTGAGCCACCACACCCGGCCAGCTCCTGGCCAAGTTTCTGAGCGCCCCTGCACTCAAGCCTGACTCCTTCCTTGCATGACATGATCTTGTGTCCACGAAGCTGCATGGCCTGGGACCAGCAACAGCCTTGTTCTAACTTGTTGTCTCATGATTTAAAGTGGATGGCACATGGTCTTACTCTTCTCCCAGCCCCCTTGGTACAAGTTGGGACTCATGCCCACAGTACAGCAAGTTAATCAGAGCTGCAGGGCCAACGCAGTACCCCTGTACTGGCTTCAACTCCACCTAGAGAACGAGGGGTCCTCTGCAGAAAGGGATCCATGGCTGCTTCGTTGTGAGAACTTTCCTTTTTTTTTCTTTTCTTTTCTTTTTTTCTTTTTTTTTTTTGAGACAGAGTCCCACTCTGTCGCCAGGCTGGAGAGCAGTGGTGCAATCTTGGCCATTGCAACCTCCGCCTCCCCGGTTCAAGCGATCCTCCTGCCTCAGCCTCCCAAGTAGCTGGGATTACAGGTGTCCACCACCACGCCCAGCTAGTTTTTGTATTTTTAGTAGATACTGGGTTTCACTATGTTACCCAGGCTGGTCTCAAACTCCTGACATCAAGTGATCCACCCGCCTTGGCCTCCCAAAGTGCTGGGATTAAGGGCGTGAGCCACTGTGCCTGGCCTCAAGAATATTTCATTAAGAGAAGCACAGAGGTGTCTTGGGGGAGCCCAGCCAGGTCTCAGGGCCTCAGTTTCTTCCCTGTAGAATGGACCAGGCTGGGTCAGCCCTGAGGAGCCCCCGGAGCCTCCTGCCTCTGATGCTGGGGATGTTGTGCTGCTGCTTGCCCAGTTGGGGAGGAGCAGCTGGGTGGACAGGATCATAGAGAAAAAGAGGCCAGGACAGTGGAGCCTCTACAGTGAGGCCTCCCCAAAGCCCCTCAGGTGTCCTCCCTCCTCCATCCTATGTTGGGGGTCCTTTCTTCCCTTGCCTCTCCCAAGTCTTCAGTTTCTTGGTTTCTCTCTGCAGGCCTCCCCCAGGGAAGAACTTCACTATGCCTCGGTGGTGTTTGATTCTAACACCAACAGGATAGCTGCTCAGAGGCCTCGGGAGGAGGAACCAGATTCAGATTACAGTGTGATAAGGAAGACATAGGCTTTTGTCCTGCCTCGCCATCGGAGCTCTCATGGGCCCCAGGAAGTCCAGGGACAGCTCCCTTATACCTGGCCCACGTCCTTCTCAGCCTGCCCTCGACAACAGTGACCAACAGACAGGCAGCTGGGTTTCCCAGGCCATCCCTCTGTTGCCATCAGCTTGATTGGCTTCCCCGAGGGCCAGCAGGGCTGGGGGCTCCGGAGAGCAGCAGGAAGCACTCCCAGCCACCAGTGCCTGTCACCTCTTTCCCCTTTGCCCCTGCTTCATCCCAGCTCTGTGTGTGGAGGACAAAGCTTCTTCCTGCGTGGCTCCAGGAAAAGATGTGGCTCACGTAGGTGGCACCTGCCAATAGCTTTGTCAATCACAGCCCCATAGGAACGTCTGGAATTGCTTGGGAGTTGGGGAGAACTGTCAAGAAGAGTGAAGAGAGTGCCAAAGCGGAGATCTGTTCACCTGGGGGCCATGGAGGGGGGACCCACTAAAGATCAAGATCAAAGATTCTCCCCATCTCACAGACAAGGAAACTGAGGCCAGAGGGAGGAGAGAATTGCTCATGGCTCCAGAACTGGTGGCAAGTTTCTCTGGACTCTTAGGTTTATTTTTAATATGAAATATAAAAACAGTTTCAAATATCTTATTGAGGGAGAAGTAAAAACTTATTTAAACAATGCCTGCTATGTGTCTGCAATCCTCTGCAAAAGAAAGCTCCCAGCTTTGATACCAGATGAGTGCAGAGAAGCCTTGTGGGTGCAGTGGGTTGGGGACATCCTAAGAGAAGTCCTCACTGAGTGGGAGAAGGTGGGTCACAGCTGCTTCTTGCCATGATGTCTGTTTGCTTGTGTGTTTTTTGAGATGGGGCCTCGCTCTGTCCCCCAGGCTGGAGTGCAGTGATACGATCACAGCTCACTGCAGCCTGGAATTCTTGGGCTCAAGTGATCCTCCTGCCTCACCCTCCTGAGTAGCTGGGACTACAAACACATGCCACCATGCCTGAATTTTTTTTTTTTGTAAAGATGGGGTCTCGCCATGTTGCCCAGGCTGGTCTTGAACTCTTGGGCTCAAGCGATCCTTTTGCCTTGGCCTCCCTGAGTGCTAGGATTACAGCATGAGTCACCATGCCTGGCAGTTTGCATGATGGAAAACACAGCAGTTTTCTTGTCGGGAGATTTGAAATTTAATGCAAAGAGTTGTCCAGGCTGTCTTGAGTCTGTGGCAGCTGCCAACAGCTTTATGTTTTTATTTTTTCATTTTAATTTTTCTTTTTTAGAGGCAGGGTCTCTCTGTGTTGCTCAGCCTTGAACTCCTGGAGTTGTGCAATGTGGACTCCTGGATCTGAAAGGTGAGGCTGCCATGAAGCCTATAATGTGGGTCGGGGCTTAGACATGTGCCTGGTACGGAGGGGAACCCAGAAATAGTTGTTGACTTCACTTGAATTGAGCCCGGTCACGTTTCAGTCCTGATCTGCAGTAACCCTTCTCAGGTTCCTGTTTCCAGAGACAGAATTCCACAGGGTGGTTTAAAACACAGAGGTTCGTGGCACCAGACTGACTCTAAGACTCAGGGGATTGTTCGAAGGACCCCTTCTCCTCAATGGGAGTGAACTTTAATTCTCTGAAATAGTATTTTCTCTTTAATTCGGTCTAAATTTCTATCAATTAGAAGTAAGTCCTCTGTAAAATGCAAATGTCTAGGCTATCAGTTGGTTGTCAATGCCGGCTGCTATAACTACCACAACCTCCACAATAAAACTGGGTGGAGTGGCGGGGTGAGGCTGGGGCAGGAGGGTATTGCAGCCACAGCCACACGCTGGCCCCAGCCCCCTGCCCCGTCAATCTCTAAGGCTTGGTGGTGGAATAAGTTCCCCGGTATAAACCATTTGCCCTGTGGAAGGTGGCAGCCCCTTGGGAGTCCTTCATGTCATTTCCTTGCCAGAGAGTCTCAGTTGGGACCACCCCCATTCTCCAAGGAGGCCTCATAGCAGGAGGGAGCGGGCTGGCTTGCAATAGTCTTCTGGAAGTCTTACTGTCCAACTCCCTTCCAGGATGCTCTGCATACCAAAGGACACTGGGAAGAACCATCTTTGTCAAACCAGAGACAGGGTCTTCATCTGTTGCCCAGGCTAGAGTACAATGGCACAATTATTGCTCACTGCAGCCTCGAACTCCTGGGTTCAGGCAGTTCTCCTGCCTCAGCCTCCTGAGTAGCTGGAACTACAGGCATGCGCCACCACACCTGGCTAATTTTTTGTAGAGACAGGGTTTCATCATGTGGCCCAGGCTGCTCTTGAACTCCTGAGTTCAAGCAATCCACCCACTTCAGCCTCCGAAAGTGCTGGGATTATAGGCATGAGCTACCATGCCCTGCCCACACTCAAAATTTACAGGAGAATATACAGTGAAAAGTTGGTCCCTTTATTTCTGTCACCAGGCATCCAGAGATAAACAAGGTTAATAGTTTCTTGTGTTTCTCCCCTGAGATAGTTAATCATTTGCACATATATCCATGTATATACGGCCTATATGTATATGCTCCTCCCCATTCCCATATGTGGGGATATCCTCCCCATTCCCACCATTCCTGCACAGTAGTATTTTCATGTCACAACCATCTTGGAGATTATTTTACCTTCTTCTATAAATGCTGCAGAACATCCCATAACATTCCATTGTTTGTACCATGACATACACATGCCATTTTGCACATTTTCATAGACAGCTGAAGGGTAAAGTTGGAGAAATTCAAAGTCCGTGCACTTGTAATTTTGATAGATATTGCCAAGCATATGGCAACTTTAAATAGCAATCTTTGGCCAGGCATGGTTGCTCACGCTGAATCCCAGCACTTTGGGAAGCT
Organism: Homo sapiens; assembly: GCF_000001405.40. Classification (NCBI taxonomy): domain Eukaryota; kingdom Metazoa; phylum Chordata; class Mammalia; order Primates; family Hominidae; genus Homo; species Homo sapiens. The sequence goes on from NW_025791806.1 coordinate 63,428, forward strand.
GAGGTGGGTGGGTCATTCGAGGTCAAGAGTTTGACACCAGCCTGGCCAACATGGTGAAACCCCATCTCTACTAAAAATACAAAAATTAGCTGGGCGCAGTGGCATGCACCTGTAATCTCAGCTACTTGGGAGGCTGAAGCAGGAGAATTGCTTGAACCTGGGAGGTGGAGGTGGCAGTGAGCCGAGATCATGCCATTGCATTCCAGCCTGGGCAACAGAGCAAGACCCCATCTCAAAAATAAATAAATAAAAAGGAAAAAAAAAGAAATAGCAATCTTTTTATTTATGTATTTATTTTTTGAGACAGATCTTGCTCTGTCACTCAGGCAGAGTGCACTGAGAGTGCAGTGGCTTGGTTACAGCTCACTGCAGCCTCCACCTCCTAGGCTGAAGCAATTCTCCCACCTCAGCCTCTGGAGTAGCTAGGACTACAGGCTCAGGCCACCATGCCCGGCTAACTTTGTTTATTTTTTTCTGTAGAGATGAGGTCTCACTAGGTTGCCCAGTTGGTCTTGAACTCCTGCACTCAAGTGATCCTCCTGCCTCAGCCTCCCAAAGTGTGGGGATTACAGGTGTGAGCCACCATGCCCAGCTTGAAATAGCAATCTTTAATTTCCACCTTACTAGTTATCCCTCTACACCCAAAACTGACGTATTAATTTTTACCAAGTGTATTAGTTTGTTTTCATGCTGCTGATAAAGACATACCCAAGACTGGGCAATTTACAAAAGAAAGATGTTTAACTGGACTCACAGTTCCACCTGGCTGGGGAGGCCTCAAAATCATGGCAGAAGGCAAGGAGGAGCAAGTCACATCTTACATCAATGGTGGCAGGCAAAGAGAGAGCTTCTGCAGAGAAACTTCCATTTTTAAAACCATCAGATCTCATAAGACCCATTCACTATCAGAAGAACAGCATGGGAAAGACCTGCCCCTGTGATTCAGTCATCTCCCAAAACAAGTTGGAATTATGGGAGCTACAAGATGAGATTTGGGTGTGGACACAGAGCCAAACCATATCATTTCACTCCTGACCTCTCCCAAATCTCCTATCTTCACGTTTCAAAACCAATCATGCCTTCCCAACAGTCGCCCAAAGTCTTAACTCATTTCAGTATTAACTCAAAAGTCCACAGTCCAACATCTCATCTGAGACTAGGCAAGTCCCTTTCACCTATGAGCTTGTAAAATCAAAAGAAGTTTAGTTACTTCCTAGATACAATGGGGGTATAGGCATTAGGTGAACACAGCCATTCGGTGAACACAGCCATTCCAAATGGGATACATTGGCCAAAACAAAGGGCCTACAGGTCTGATGGAAGTCTAAAATCCAGTAGGACAGTCAAATCTTAAATTTCCAAAATGATCTCCTTTGACTCCATGTCTCATATCAGGTCACGCTGATGCAAGAGATGGGTTCCCATGGTCTTGGACAGCTCTGCCCCTGTAGCTTTGCAGCGTACAGCCTCCCTCCCAGCTGCTTTCATGGGCTGGCGTTGAGTGTCTGCAGCTTTTCCAGGTGCACAGTGCTGGCTGTCAGTGGATTTACCATTCTGGGGTCTGGAGGATGGTGGCCCTCTACTCACAGCTCTACTAGGCAGTGCCCCAGTAGGGACCCTGTGTGGGGTCTCTAACCCCACATTTCCCTTCCACACTGCCCTAGCGGAGGTTCTCCATGAGGGCCCTACCCCTGCAGCAACCTTCTGCCTGGACATCCAGGCATTTCCATACATCCTCTGAAATCCAGGTGGAGGTTCCCAAACCCCAATTCTTGACTTCTGTGCACTTGCAGGCTCAACACCACATGGAAGCTGCCAAGGCTTGGAGCTTGCACCCTCTGAAGCCACAGCCCAAGCTCTATGTTGGCCCCTTTTAGCCATGGCTGGAGCGGCTGGGATGCAGGGCACCAAGTCCCTAGGCTGCACAGAGCAGGGGAACCCTGGGCCTGGCCCACAAAACCACTTTTTCCTCCTAGGCCTCCAAGCCTGTGATGGGAGGGGCTGCCATGAAGACGTCTGACATGCCCTGGAGACATTTTCCCCATTGTCTTGGGGATTCACATTTGGCTCCTCGTTACTTAGGCAAATTTCTGCAGCCAGCTTGAATTTCTCCTCAGAAAATGGGATTTTCTTTTCTATCACATTGTCAGGCCATAAATTTTCTAAACTTTTACACTCTGCTTCCCTTATAAAACTGAATGCCTTTAACAGTGCCCAAATCATCTCTTGAATGCTTTGCTGCTTAGAAGTTTCTTCCGCCGGATACCCTAAATCATCTCTCTCAAGTTCAAAGCTCCACAAATCTCTAGGGCAGGGGCAAAATGCCACCAGTCTCTTTGCTAAAACATAACAACAGTCACCTTTACTACAGTTCCCAACAAGTTCTTCATCTCAATCTGAGTCCACCTCAGCCTGGATTTCATTGTCCATATCATTATCAGCATTTTGATCAAAGCCATTCAACAAGTCTCTAGCAAGTTCCAAACTTACCCATATTTTCCTGTCTTCTTCTGAGCCCTCCAAACTGTTCCAACCCCTGCCTGTTACCCAGTTCCAAAGTCACTTCCACATTTTCAGGTATCTACAGCAGCACCCCACTCTACTGGTACCAATTTACTACATTGGTCCATTGTCACGATGCTGATAAAGACATACCTGAAACTGGGCAATTTACAAAAGAAAGAGGTTTAACAGACTTACAGTTCCACGTGGCTGGGGAGGCCTGACAATCATGGCAGAAGGCAAAGCAGGAGCAAGTCACATCTTGTGTGGATGGCAGCAGGCAAAGAGAGAGCTTGTGCAGAGAAACTCCTATTTTTAAAACCATCAGATCTCATGAGACCCATTCACTATCACAAGAACAGCATGGGAAAGACCCGCCCCCAGGATTCAGTCATCTCCCACTGGGTCCCTCCCACAACACATGGGAATTATGGGAGCCACAAGGTGAGATTTGGGTGGGGACACAGAGCCAAACCATATCACCAAGACTATATAAGACCTCTATGGAGAGAACAATAAAATTCCAATAAAGGTTACAGAAGATGATCTGAATAAATGGAGAGATCTTTTAGGCTCTTACTTCAGGTGACTTAATGACACCAAGATGTCGAGTCTTCCCAAATTAATCAATATATTTGACCGGGTGCGGTGGCTCACACCTGTAATCCCAGCACTTTGGGAGGTCGAGATGGGCGGATCACCTGAGGTAGGGAGTTCAAGACCAGCCTGACCAACATAGAGAAACCCCATCTCTACTAAAAATACAAAATAGCCGGGCTGAATTAGCTTGTTGGGAACTGTAGTAAAGGTGACTGTTGTTATGTTTTAGCAAAGAGACTGGTGGCATTTTGCCCCTGCCCTAGAGATTTGTGGAGCTTTGAACTTGAGAGAGATGATTTAGGGTATCCGGCGGAAGAAACTTCTAAGCAGCAAAGCATTCAAGAGATGATTTGGGCACTGTTAAAGGCATCAGTTTTATAAGGGAAGCAGAGTGTAAAAGTTTAGAAAGGTTGAATTAGCTATTTGTAGACCTTTATTCCATTGAATGCATTTTAAAATAAGCTTATTATGTTCCTCAAAAAAATTCCTTTTTATTAGGAGTGTATTGAATGTATTGATTTTTTTTTTGAGATGGAGTTTCACTCTTTTTACCCAGGCTGGAGTGCAATGGCACGATCTCAGCCCACTACAACCTCCACCTCCTGGGTTCAAGCGATTTTCCTGCCTCAGCCTCCCTAGTAGCTGGGATCACAGGCATGTGCAACCTCTGCCTCCCAAGCTCAATAGATCCTTCCACCTCAGCCTCCTGAGTAGCCATAGATTTGAGGAAATAATGAGGAGCCAGAGGAAACTGTCCCGTCTCAGACTAGAAAAGGGGTGGCCTGAAGCGGAGATGGGGAGGGGAGAGAGCGCGAGCTGGTGGGACCCAGGGCTGGGCCGACCTGGAGTTGCCAAGAGAATCTGCAGGAGACACTGCTGCCCAGTACAGCAACCACAGGTGAGCATGGAGCCCTCGGGACCGGCCAGTCCAAACTGAAATGGGCTTTGAATCTACGACTTACTGCAAACGACAGGATGTCAACTATCTCATTGATAACACAATGAGTACCTATTGGACTGAAGGACTTTGTGTGTGTGTGTGTGTGTGTGTGTGTGTGTGCATATACATTTTTTTTTTGAGACATAGTCCCAGGGAGGAGTGCAGCAGCATGATCATGGCTCACTGCCCCTTCAAACTCCTAGACTTATGTGATCCGTCTGCCTCAGCCTCCCAAGTAGCTGGGACCACAGGCGCATGCCACCAGGCCTGGCTAATTTTTTTGATTTTTTCTAGAGATGGACTCTCACTTTTTTGCCCACACTGGTCAAACTACTGGGCTCAAGACATCCTCCCCTCTCGGCTTCCCAACAGGTTAAGATTACAGGCATGAGCCACTGCACCCAGCCTGATAATATTTTGGGGGTAAATAAATATTGGGGTGAATAAATAAAAATATTATTTCAAATATCAGTTATCCAAATTGATTATGTAATATTTAATCAAATTGATTATTGATTATTCAAATATCAAAGGTGACTTTGATCTTGAATTCAGTTAATTGAGCCTTAGGAGATTACGGACCCCTGTAAATCCAAGCTCCCTGCTCCTTTCTATTCACTGGCATTCTAGACTCATTCACCACACACATTAACTAACAGACAGATGCCAGCGTCGTGCTTTACCTGTTAAACAGTTACGAGTCTGGTTGGTACAGCCAGACTGTCTCTGTCTGCATGAGCCGGGTACAGAAAGGGGCCACTCCAGTGTTTTACAGATGGTTCTAATATGTTATTACTAAACACTTGCCACAACAGCTTGCATAGGCAGCTGAGGTCACTCGGTCACCTCAACATTCTGTGATCAGCCACATGAGCTGTTGGGTTTTACCAGGAAAAGAGTGACTAGTTATGCTTCTCTTTTTTAATTTTAATTTTTTTTTTTTTGAGATGGAGTCTTGCTCTGCCACCCAGGCTAGAGTACAATGACACGATCTCGGCTCACTGCAGCCTCTGCCTCCTGGGTTCAAGCGATTCTCCCATCTCAGCCTCCAGAGTAGCTGAGATTACAGGCACATGCCTCCATGCCCAACTAATTTTTGTATTTTTAGTAGAGACAAGGTTTCACCATGTTGGCCAGGCTGGCCTCAAACTGCTGACCTCAGGTGACCCACCCGCCTCAGCCTCCCAAAGTGCTGGGATTACAGGCATGAACCGCCACTCCCAGCCTCCTCTTATAATTTATTTAAAAGGCCATGGTGCTTTATAGAACAGCTTAACAATTACTGAGAAGAAAGAAAGAAGGAAAGAAAGACAGAGAGGAAGAAAGGAAGGTAATTCACATGCAGAGAGAACATTCCACTTTATTCTTTTTGTTTTTTTCAGGGAATGGGTGAGCTGAGGGGTTTATTCACACAACAGAATGCTTTGCAGCAGTGACAACAGATTGCCTTTTTTTATTTTATTTCATTTTATTTTATTTGAGACAGGGTCTTGCTCTGTCACCCAGGCTGGAGTCCAGTGGTGCAATCTTGGCTCACTACAATCTCTGCTTCCCAGGTTCAAGTGATTCTTCTGCCTCAGCCTCTCCAGTAACTGGGATTACAGGTACATGCCACCATGCCCGGCTAATTTTTTTGTACTTTTAGTAGAGACAGGGTTTCGCCATGTTGGCCAGGCTGGTCTCGAACTTCTGGCCTCAAGTGATCCTCTTGCCTCGATCTCCCAAAGTGCTGGGATTATAGGCATGAGCCACCATGCCTGGCCACCTTCTTTATTTTACAGAAGAGCCACGGGCCAGAGAGGCTACTTGAAATGACAAATGCCACTCCATTGGGTGATAATATCTGAACCTTGAATCTAGGAATTCTGGATCTTAGCATTAAAAACAACAACAATGAAAAAAAAAACCTTGTATTTTGAAACAATTTCAAACTTAAGGAAAAATTGTGGAAAAGGTACAAAGACCTCCCGTATGTCATTTTCCCAGATTTACCCTTTTTTTTTTTTAATTTGCCACTTTTTTGTTACTCTGTTTCTATCTATGCGTTTTTCCCCAGAACCATCTGAGAACAGGTTGCTGACACTGTCTTTGTCTGCATGTGCCGGGTACACAAAGGTGCCACTCCGGTGTTTTCTGAAAGTAGCTGGTGAAGCCTTCCCGTAGTTGTGCCTTGTCTTTGTTTTACAATCCAAGTTCACCTTCAAAATACAGCGCCTCACTTGGCATGTCCAATGCCAACATGATAGATATTCGGAGGATTAAATAATGTTAGGTTAATCATCAATATGTTCACAATTGGTCCAAGGAGGTGAAAGACATTTTCTAATTAGCCCAAGCCTTTTAGAAAGATGACTCAGGGCTGAATTATCCACAGTTTAGAAAATGACCTCACAATTATGTTTCTTTGTTTTTAAAGTTTACTGTTTGGGCAAACACCAGCCCTGGTTTGTAGACCTGACTCTGCCTGGGAACCAAACATAGAGATTTGATAGCCACGTATCTCCACCCTGTGGCCATGCGGGGAATCACACATGCCTGGATTCCCAAGCCTGTTGAATTCGTTGGGGTTGGTCTGTCAACGCCAAAGGAATTCTGTACTTTCTGGGTCAATGCAGCTGAGAAGCGGGAGGGCTTGAAACAGGGGAACAGACAGAAAACTCCTGCATGGCTTTCCAGCCCCTCTGCACGCCCAGTCCTTGGATGTTTTGTGCCGAAAGAAAACTCAACTCCTTGGCCGGGCACGGTGGCTCACGTCTGTTATCCCAGCATTTTGGGAGGCCAAGGCAGGCGGATCACTTGAGGTCAGGAGTTCAAGAGCAGCCTGGCCAACATGGCGAAACCCCGTCTCTACTAAAAATACAAAAATTAGCCGGGTGTGGTGGCGGACACCTGTAATCCCAGCTACTTGGGAGGCTGAGGCAGGAGAATCGCTTGAACCTGGGAGGCGGAGGTTGCAGTGAGCCAAGATCGCGCCATTGCACCCCAGCCTAGGTGACAGAGCAAGACTCTGTCTCAAAAAACAAACAAACAAACAAAACAAGAAAACTCAACTCCTCTCTAACTTTGAGTTTCTTTATTTCATATCCAATTGTCCCTTCCCAATTCCTAGATTTTCCCACCCCGACTGCAGTGTGTCAAAGGCAAGGGCAGCCACCCCACCTGTGGTTGGTGTCATGGGTTTGGGGTCAGATAGAACAGGCCTTAAATCCCACCTCTGCCCTTGTGACCTACATGGTCTGGGGCTGCCATTCAAGGCCATCTGGGTCTCAGTTTCTTCATTTGTTCCAGCAATGGTCCAGTGCCCCTCCAGTGCGTTCACCCTCACCAGGCTCTGAAGCAAGCTCTTATTTATTTATTTCTATTTTGAGAGGGAGTCTCAGTCACTGAGGTTGGAGTGCAGTGGTGCGATCTAGGCTCACTGCAACCTCTGCCTCCCGGGTTCAAATGATTCTCCTGCCTCAGCCTCCCAAGTAGCTGGGATTACAGGCACCTGCCACCACACCTGGCTAATTTTTGTATTTTAGTAAAGATGGGGTTTCGCCATGTTGCCCAGGCTGGTCTCAATCCCCTGACCTCAGGTGATTCACTCACCTGGGCCTCCCAAAGTGCTGGGATTACAGATGTAAGCCACCGCACCTGGCCACTCTTATTTATTTATACAGACAGGGTCTCACCATGTGGTCCCAGTTGGGCTTAACCTCCTGGTCTCAAGCAAATCTCCCTCCTCAGCCTCCTGACTGGCTGGGACCGCAGTGTGACCCACTACACCCAGCTGATGCAAGCCCTTAACAAAAGGCCCTGCCATTCTCTCCCTGGGCATCCTCATGCTGTTTCGTCACCTCTGGGACTCTTTCTAAGCACCCCTGACCTGCATCCTCATTGTCCAAAATTTCTTTGCTGTCGATTCTTTCCTTTGCTCCTGTTCTCGGGTCCTTTGAATTTGACCTTTGGACTCTCCCCTTTGACCTACATTCTGCAAATCTGGCCACATGGTGCATTGGAGCCCGGGACCTACTCCTGAAGCCCAGGCTGAGGGCAAGCTCTGGGTTCCTATGTGTCTGGTAAGGAAAGTGGGAAATGGGAACAGCAGGTTCTACCTTCCAGGAGTGTTGAGAGTTACAGGAAAGAATTGAGTAGAGTCCTTGATCCCAAAGTATTCTCTCTGTATATGAATTACCTCCCTTTCTTCCTCCCTTCCTCTTTCTTTCCTGTCTTCTTTTTTTCTCTCTTCTCCGTAATTGTTAAGCCATTCTTTTTTTTTTTTTTTTTTTTTTTTGAGATGGAGTCTCGCTCTGTCACCCAGGCTAGAGTGCAGTGGCACGGTCTCGGCTCACTGCACTCTGCCTCCCCGGTTCACGCCATTCTCCTGCCTCAGCCTCCCGAGTAGCTGGGACTACAGGCGCCCGCCACCACACCCGGCTAATTTTTGTATTTTTAGTAGAGACGGGGTTTCATCGTGTTAGCCAGGATGGTCTTGATCTCCTGACCTTGTGATCCGCCCACCTCGGCCTCCCAAAGCGCTGGGATTACAGGTGTGAGCCACCGCGCCTGGCTTGTTAAGCCATTCTATAAAGCACAATGACCTTCTTAATAAATTATTAAAGCATAACTAGCCACTCTTTTCCTAGTAAAACCCAACAGCAGATGTGCCTGCTGTTGACCAGGTGACCGAGTGACCTCAGCCGCCTATGCAAGCTGTGGTGGCAAGTGTTCAGTAATAACATAATAGAACAATCTGTAAGGGTGGCAGCCGTACCACCCAGATGCAGTGGCTCATGCCTGTAATCCCAGCACTTTGGGAGGCCAATGTGGGTGGATCACTTGAGGTCAGGAGTTCAAGACCAGCCCAGCCAATATGCGAAACCCTGTCTCTACTGAAAATACAAAAATTAGCTGGGGTGGTGCGTGCCTATAATCCCAGCTACTTGGGAGGCTGAGGCAGGAGAATCGTGTGAACCTGGGAGGCAGAGGTTTTAGTGAGCTGAGATTGCACCATTGCACTCCAGCCTGGGCAACAGAGTGAGACTCTATCTCAGGAAAAAAAAAATATATATATATATATATATGGTGAAGCACGATGCTGGCATCTGTCTGTGAGTTAATGTGTGCAGTGGAAGAATCTGGAATGCCAGGAAACAAAAGGGATGATGGGTTATGAGGAAGGAGCAGGGCGCTTTGACTGACAGGTGTGGGTAATCACCTGACACACAATTAACTGAATTCAAGATCAAAGTCACCTGCAGAATATCAATGGGCTAAGCTGCTCTGCCTTCCACAGAAGCAGAACAGGATCAGAAAACTCCCTCTCTAAGCATTCCGTACCTGGGTTAGCAAGAGTGTCACGAATGTCCAAACTTGCTAGATTATCAATCTCACAGGCCATCAGCTGACCCAAAGGACATGGGGTCAGGAGAAAGTTCTGCATAAGATTCTCTACAAGTGTCAGAGAAAGAGCTCTGGGAAATGGGATTTTGGGGCCATTTTCACTCCCATCACAAACGAAGTAGAAGCAGCTTCATCCCCACTGAGACTGTAGCTGGCCTCTCAGAGCCTCAGGAAAACCTTGGAGTGTGAGGGGAGGAGGGGGAGCTTCATGACGAGAGAGCTGAAACTCCATAATCAACACGGTGTCAACTGGAACTTTCTCCTTAGCCTCTGGATTTCACATTTCCCTTAGGAGAATCTAATGTCTACCTCTTTATTTGGCAGTCTTATATGGAATTTATGTAGAATGTTGCTTTGAATCTTCTCAACTAATTCCCATTCTGATTTTTTTCAACTTAAAAATTTTTATTTTTATTTTTTGAGACAGGTTTTCACTCTCTTGCTCAAGCTTGAGTGTAGTGGTGCAATCATAGCTCACTGCAACCACAACCTCCTAGGCTCAAGCAATTCTCCCACCTCAGCCTCCCAAGTAGCTGGGACTACAGGCACATACCACCATGCCCAGCTAATTTTTTTGCTTTTGCTTTGTGTATGTATGTGTGGTTTTGTTTTGTTTTGTTTTGTTTTGTTTTGTTTTGTTTTGTAGAGACAGGGTCTCACTATGTTGCCCAGGCTGGTCTTGATCTCTTGGGTTTAAGTAACTCCCACCTCAGCCTCCCAAATTGCTGGGATTACAGGTGTGAGTCACTGCACCTGACCCCATTCTGATTTTTTAAAAATTTATGAATAAATAACCTATTTAGACATTTTGAATCAGAGGTACGTGGACCCAACTAATCATGTGGTTACTATCAGGAAGCCAGGACCAGGAATAGTGGTTAGAAGAAGAACCAAGTCATCCATTCATCCATCCATCCATCCATCCAGTAACGAATATGTATGATATTTTTCCTATATGGGGACACAGTCTAGAAGGAGCTTGGAGACCAGTTGGGGAGCCTGATAACATTAAGTGTCAAAATGTTACTACAAAATGTCCTGAGTTACAATGATAGAGAAAGTCAAGGAGTCCTGGGAGCAGGCAGGACAGGCACATCCCACTGTGGTGGAGGGCAAGTAGGCACCTGTGTAGCTTCCTGAAAATGGCTCTTGGATGGTGGATGGAGTCTTACAAGATAAGCAAGCCGGGTGCCTCTAAAGCAAAGTGCATGGCAAGAGGTTTGGATGAGGCAGGGCCTGGGGAGGAAGAGCTGGCCACTCCTTCCTGTTGGAGCAGAAAGGGGAGGCCTCGAGTGGTGGGAAGTGAGGGCGGAGGGAGAGGCCAGCTCACAGAACATCAGCTTCACTGACAGGCTTCAATTTCATTTTGCAAACAATTTAGAAGCCATTAAAAGTTTTTTTTTAGGCCAGGCGTGGTGGCTCACGCCTATAATCCCAGCACTTTGGGAGTCTGAGGCAGGCAGATCACCTGAGGTCCGGAGTTCGAGACCAGCCTGGCCAACGTGGTGAAACCCTGCCTCTACTAAGAATACAAAAATTAGCCAGGCGTGGTGGCGCATGCCTATAATCCCAGCTACTCAGGAGGCTGAGGCAGGAGAATTGTTTGAACCCAGGAGACGGAGGTTGCAGTGAGCCAAGATCACACCACTGCACTCCAGCCTGGGTGACACACTGGACTCGATCTCAAAAAAAAAAAAAAAATTTTTTTTATATTAACTACAGAAAAAAGATCTATTTGTTGTAAAAAAAAAAGTTAGAAAATACAGACAAAAAGAAGAAAATAACAATGTTCATATATCTACATTTTTTCCTTATAAAATATGGGTTCAAATAACATATACTCTTAAAATTTGTATCATGTTCCTTTTATGGATGTAATGTAATTTATTTAACCATATCTTTACTGTTGGGGATTTAGGATGTTTCTAGTTTCTTGCTATTATAACCAATTATGTGACCATTCTTGCACATAATTATTTCTTTAGGATACACTCTTAGAAATGTCTCGGCCCAGGGGTAGTATATTCGATAGGATTTGGGTGCAATTTATTCTCCTATCAGCCTGGTATGGAAATATCCTTCAGCATATCCCATGGCCAACATTGGGAATGGTGCCTTTAAAAAAATGATTTAAACTTCTGCCAATTACAAATAAATAGTTCTCATTGCTTTTAAATAAATACCATTAATTCTGGCCGGGTTCTGTGGCTCACGTCTGTAATCCTGGCACTTTGAGAGGCCAAGGCAGGCAGATCACTTGAGGCCAGGAGTTTGAGACCAGCCTGGACAACATGGTGAAACCCCGTCTCTACTAAAAATACAAAAAGTTAGCCAGGCATGGTGGTGCATGCCTGTAATCCCAGCTACTCGTGAGGCTGAGGCAGGAGAATCGCTTGAGCCCAGGAGGCGGAGGTTGCAGTGAGCCAAGATCATGCCGCTGCACTCCAGCCTGGGTGACAGAGCGAGACTCCATCTCAAAAACAAACAATCAACAATAACAACAAAAAGAATAACATTAATTCAGAAAAGTGTGTATCGTTCCATATCCAGATGATGTCTCTTAACACACACACAAAAAGAAAAGTAAAAATTATTTAATTAGCCAGGCGCGGTGGCAAGCTCCCATAATCCCAGCTACTGGGGAGGCTGAGGCAGGAGAATTGCTTGCACCTGGGAGGCAGAGGTTGCAGTGAGCCGAGATCGCGCCATTGCACTCCAACCTGGGTGACAGAGCAAGACTCCATCTCAGGACAAAAAAAAAAAAAAATTTTAAACCCATGTGCAATGGACAGAAAATTAAAACAGTACAGGAAGTTATAAAATTAACAAAAAAGTCTCCTTCCTCCTACCCTACCCCTAGTACCATTCCACAAAAGTGACTACTGTTAGCCATTTCTTACACAGCTTTCAGAAAACTTATTATTATTTCAAAATTATTTTCAAAAGGGCTAATCCAGGCGCAGTGGTTCACATTTGTAATCCCAGCACTTTGGGAGGCCGAGGCAGGCGGATCACCTGAGGTCAGGAGTTCAAGACCAGCCTGGCCAACTTGGTGAAACCCTGTCTCTACTAAAAATACAAAATTAGCCAAGTGTGGTGACACACACCTGTAATCCCAGCTACTTGGGAGGCTGAGGAAGGAGAATCGCTTGAGCTCAGGAGGCAGAGGTTGCAGCGAGTCAAGATCGCGCCACTGCACTCCAGCATGGGCGACACAGCAAGACTCCATCTCCAAAAAAAGTGGGGGGAGGGGCTCATAATTCTTCATACCTCACTTTTGCATATGTCCTAGAGACCTTGTTATACAAGTACACACAAATCTACCTCATTCTTTTATATGTGATTCCACAGTTTTAATTCATTCCGTTATTTACTCATTTACTTGATGACTTTTATTGAATACCTACTATATACCATGGAGCTATACAGCAGAGACATAGCAGTGAAGAAGATAAATGAGGCCCCTTCTGTCTGGTCCTTGTATCTTAGTGGGCAGTAGACAGAACAAACAAAACAAAAGCAAGCTTCGTTCAGATCATCACAGAACTGCTGTGTGAAGATCTGAATTGTGTACAGCTGAGAGTGATGAGAGGCAGGAAGGGCTGCTTGCATAGGGAGGTCATGGAGGGACTTCCTGACATTTGAGCTGAGACTTGAGAAGGAGCCAGCCACACAATAATATAGAGTGAGAGCATTCCTGGCAGAGGAAACAGCTCAGGCAAAGGCTCTAAGGGGGAACAAGGCTAGTGTGTCCCAGGCTTAGGGTGCCGGCCAGATGAGTACAGAGTAGACAATGTGGGGAGCTTGGTGGGAGGCAGACGCAGAAAGGCAGAGGCAGGCAGTGGTCAGATCAGGGAAGGGTTAATACGCAAATGTGTGGATTTTGTCCTAAGTGGAAACTCTGAAAAATTTCAAGCAAGGGAGTCACACAATGGCACCTTGGAATGGGGTGGTGGATGTGGCCATTGGAGAAGGTGGACAAGCTCAGAATGCATTCTGGCCGTAGAGCCAACCCAACAGGCTGAAGGATTGGATGTGGGAGGGAGTGAAAAGAAAGGAATAAAAATTGCAGGTGACTTCTACGGTTTTCACTTGAGCAATTGGGAGGGCAGTAAAGGTGGGTCCCTTTACGGAAATGGAAAGACTAAGAGAGCAGCAGTTTTGGGGTGGAATTGGGGAGAGGAAACAGGGACTCTGTTGGGCGTACAGATGCTCAAATAAAGATGACAAGCCCCCTATTGGCTGTATGAGTCAGGCGCTGGGGGAGGGACTGGAGCTGTAGGTGCACAATGCATGCCGATGTATCTGTGTGTCATACAAGGCCCCATGTATGACTGCGTGTGTATACACATGCACAGATGCACACATTGTTATGTCATCCCAGACCATGTTTTTGTATTTTTGTACCTGTATCTTGGTATATATCTGAGTATATCTTTTTTTTTTTTTTTTTTTTTTTTTTTTGAGACAGAGTCTTGCTCTGTTGCCCAGGCTGGAGTGCAGTGGTGTGATCTTGGCTCACTGCAACCTCTGTCTCCCGGGTTCAAGCGATTCTTCTGCCTCAGCCTCCCAAGTAGCTGGGACTACAGGCGTGCACCACCACACCCAGCTAATTTTTGTATTTTTAGTAGAGATGGGGTTTCACCGTGTTGGCCAGGCTGGTCTCGATCTCCTGACCTCGTGATCTGCCCACTTCAGCCTCCCAAAGTGCTGGGATTACAGGCGTGAGCCACCACGCCTGGCCTATCTGAGTATATCTTTAGGAGAAATTTCCAATAGTGGAGCATTAGTCAAAAGGTCCATGAATTGACTTTTTTTTAATAGATCTTGACAAATTTTCCTTCAAAAAGCTCTTGCCCACTGTCATGCCAAGCGTCAGGTTCCAGCCCATGTTGAGGTCTGAGGGGAGTGGGTGGATGGGTGGCGAATAGCGGAAGGAATATTTAGGGGGCTGTAGGCAGGTAAAATATGGTTTTATTCAGCAGCTTTTTCATCAGCAGTTTTTTTTATATACTTTAAGTTCTAGGGTACATGTGTACAATGTGCAGGTTTGTTACATAGGTATATATGTGCCATGTTGGTTTGCTGCACCCATCAGCTCGTCATTTACACTAGGTATTTCTCCTAATGCTATCCCTCCCCCAGCCCCCCACCCCTTGACAGGCCCCGGTGTGTGATGTTCCCCACCCTGTGTCCAAGTGTTCTCATTGTTCGATTCCTACCTATGAGTGAGAACATTCGGTGTTTGGTTTTCTGTCCTTGTGATAGTTTCATCAGAAGCTTTCTCATACAATTCACCTTTATCTCGGCTGCCTGCTCCAGCTTTGCGGCTCTTGCCATTCCCAGGCTTACAGCTGCATTCCCTGGCCTACAAGCCTGGCTCTCCCTTATGGGGTCAGCAGTTTTACTCTCTGCCTCTGGGCACAAGCCATGCCGAACCACATGTACAGCGTCAGCAGGGCAGTTATACCTTTTACAGACAATAGTGGCTCTGAGCCACTTACACAAACAGATTACATAACAAGTGGAGTTATGCGCCTGCGCGCCAGACTCCCTGAGTCACGCTGGCCCTGATGTTTGCCTCTGCCTGTTTTGTTTTTGTTTTTGTTTTTGTTTTTTGAGACGGAGTTTCGCTCTGTCGCCCAGGCTGGAGTGCAATGGTGCAATCTCGGCTTACTGTAACCTCCGCCTCCCAGGTTCAAGCGATTCTCCTGCCTCAGCCTCCCGAGCCACCACACCCAGCTATTTTTTTTTTTTTTTTGTATTTATAGTAGAGATGGGGTTTCACCATGTTGGCCAGGCTGGTCTCAAACACCTGACCTCTGGTGATCCACCCGCCTCAGCCTCCCAAAGTGTTAGGATTGCAGGCGTGAGCCACCGCACCTGGCTAACCTATTCTTGACCAAAGCACATCCATGTACCTTACACCCACTTACCTTCCCATCAAGAACACTCAACGATGTCCCTTTCCCTACACTCTCGCCAGTATTGGATATTTTCACACTCTATTTTCTTTTCAATCTGATAGAAGAAAATAATATCTTATAATTTTCAGAATTTGCATTCCTTTATTTGCCATTTTAGTTTTTTTCCTGTGAACTATCCATTTGCCCATTTTGCCATTGAGCTTTTAATCTATCTTACTGAGTTCCTCCGAGTGCTTTGTAAATTAAGAAAATAAGCTCTCTGTCAAATTGCCTGCAACATTTCCTTCATAGCTTGTCATTTTTTAAAAAACTTTCAAAGGTGTTTTCACCCAGTGATGTTTCATCTTTTTTCTGAGGTCAGATTTCTCAATCATTTGCTTTATAAAGTTTGAGTTTTCCTTAGGATGCTCCATTTCAAGAGTCTAATAAATTCACCCATTATTCTAAAACTTTTGTAAATTTCATTTTATATTTTCAGTTTATTCTAAAACTTGCAGTTTTCAGTTTATTCTAAAACTTTTAAATAGTCTAAGACTTTAGAAAGATTTCAGTTTATTCTAAAACTTGTGTAGTTTCTTCGTATTTAAATCTTTGATCCATTTGAAACTATTTTGGCTTACAGAGTGCGGTATGAACAGAACTTGAGTTTGTATAAGACTTAGCCAGCTGTCTCTACATCACTGATTGAGTAACCCCTCGTGTCCCATGCATAGTCCTAGGCGCCACTGTGCTGGATCAGAAGCGAAGGGAGAAGGTTAAGTGACTCACTCAGTATTTGACCACAACACTGCTTAGCTCAAAAGTCCACCTTGCTGCCCCCTTTTAGTTAAAATGAGCCTGTTAGTGAGACCCTTGATTTTTTTAGCTTTTTTTATTTTTAGTTTTTCTGGGTCATAGTAGGTGTATATATTTATGAGGTGCCTCGGGAGCATTCTGGACCATCACAGACGCTTTGGGTAACTCTTACATTGGAGGGTAAGCCCATCCCCTTCTTAATCAATACGGAGGCTACCCACTCCACATTACCTTCTTTTCGAGGGCCTGTTTCCCTTGCCTCCATAACTGTTGTGGCTATTGACGACCAGGCTTCTAAACCTCTTAAAGCTCCCCAACTCTGGTGCCAACTTGGACAACATTCTTTTATGCACTCCTTTTTAGTTATCCCCACCTGCCCAGTTCCCTTATTAGGTGAGGCATTTTAACTAAATTGTCTGCTTCCCTGACTATTCCTGGGCTATAGCCACACCTCATTGCTGCCCTTTTCCCCAGTTTAAATCCTCCTTCGCATCATCCCCTTGTGTCTCCCTACCTTAATCCACAAGTATAGGACACCTCTACTCCCTCCTTGGTGACCGATCATGCACCCCTTACCATTCCATTAAAACCTAATCACCCTTACCCCGCTCAACACCAGTATCCCATCCCACAGCACACTTTAAAAGGATTAAAGCCTGTTATCACTGGCCTGCTACAGCATGGCCTTCTAAAGCCTATAAACTCTCCTTGCAATTCCTCCATTTTACCTGTCCAAAACCCGGAAAAGTCTTACAGGTTAGTTCAGGATCTGCACCTTATCAACCAAATTGTCTTGCCTATCCACACCGTGATGCCAAACCCATATACTCTCCTATCCTCAATACCTCCCTCCACAACCCATTATTCTGTTCTAGATAAATGTAGCTGACCCCATAGATCCTAAATCCTTTCCCCACTCCTCTTTCCATTCCTTAAAAAACTCATCCCAACCCTTTTCATTACACACAGCTGAAGTACAGGACTGTGTGGTCGGAATTCTTACACAAGAGCTGGAACCACGCCCTGTAGTCTTTCTGTCCAAACAACTTGACCTTACTGTTTTAGCCTAGCCCTCATGTCTGCGTGCAGCGGCTGCCACTGCTTTAATATTTTAGAGGCCCTCAAAATCACAAACTATGCTCAACTCACTCCGTACAGTTCTCATAACTTCCAAAATCTATTTTCTTCCTCCCACCTGATGCATATACTTTCTGCCCTCCGGCTCCTTTGGCTATACTCACTCTTTGTTGAGTCTCCCACAGTTACCATTGTTCCTGGCCCAGACTTCAATCCAGCCTCCCACATTATTCTGGATACCACACCTGACCCCCATGACTCTATCTCTCTGATCCACCTGACATTTATTCCATTTCCCCATCTTTCCTTCTTTCCTATTCCTCACCCTGATCACACTTGGTTTATTGATGGCAGTTCCACCAGGCCTAATCACCACTCATCAGCAAAGGCAGGCTATGCTATAGTATCTTCCACATCTATCATTGAGGCTACTGCTCTGCCCTGCTCCACTCCCTCTCAGCAAGGCGAACTCATTGCCTTAACTCAGGCCCTCACTCTTGCAAAGGGACTACGCGTCAATATTTATACTGACTCTAAATATGCCTTCCATATCCTGCACCACCATGCTGTTACATGGGCAGAAAGAAATTTCCTCACTACACAAGAGTCCTCCATTATTAATGTGTCCTTAATAAAACCTCTTCTTAAAGCTGCTTTACTTTCAAAGGAAGCTGGAGTCATTCGCTGCAAGGGCCATCAAAAGGCATCAGATCCCATTGCTCAGGGCAACTCTTATGCTGATAAGGTAGCTAAAGAGGCAGCTAGTTTTCCAACTTCTGTCCCTGATGGCCAGTTTTTCTCCTCATTGGTCACTCCTATTTACTGTCCCACTGAAGTTTCCACCTATCAATCCCTCTCCACTCAAGGCAGATGGTTTTTAGACAAAAAAAAAATCTCCTTCAAGCCTCACTAGCCCATTCTATTCCTGTCGTCATTTCATAACCTCTTCCATGTAGGTTACAAGCCATTAGCCCGCCTCTTAAAAACTCTCATTTCCTTTCCATTGTGAAAATCTATCCCCAATCCACCACTCTTGACTCCCTCTTGGAGTGGGTAGATGATCTTTGCTGACAGGACACACTCCAATACTCTCACCCTTATGAAGTCCTGTTCTTTACTTTTATACTCACTCTTATTCTTGTTCCCGTTCTTATGCCACCCTCTCTACCTCTTCGCAGCTATCTCCACCACACTATCAATCTCACTCACTCTCTCCTAGCTGTTTCTAATCCTTCTTTAACAAACAATTGCTGGCTTTACATTTCTCTTTCCTCCAAAATCAATGAGGCCCCGACTTACTCACTGCTAAAAAAAGGGGGACTCTGTATATTTTTAAATGAACAGTGTTGTTTTTACCTAAATCAGTCTGGCCTGGTATATGACAACATAAAAAAACTCAAGGATAGAGCCCAAAAACTCACTAACCAAGCAAATAATTGCGTTGATCCCCCTTGGACACTGTCTAATTGGATGTCCTGGGTACTCCCAATTCTTAGTTCTTTAATACCTATTTTTCTCCTTCTTTTATTCGGACCTTGTGTCTTCCATTTAGCTTCTCAATTCATACAAAACACATACAGTCCATCACCAATCATTCTGTGCAACAAATCCTACTTCTAACAACCCCACAATATCACCCCTTACCCCAAAATCTTTCTTCAGTTTAATCTCTCCCACTCTAGGTTCCCATGCTGCCCCTAATCCCACTCTAAGCATCCCTGAGAAACATCGCCCATTATCTCTCCATACTACCCCCCAAAATTTTCGCCACCCCAACACTTCACCACTATTTTGTTTTGTTTTTCTTATTAATATAAGAAGACAGGAATGTCAGGCCTCTGAGCCCAAGCTAAGCCATCATGTCCCCTGTGACCTGCACATATACATCCAGATGGCCTGAAGCAACTGAAGATCCACAAAAGAAGTGAAAATAGCCTTAACTGATGACATTCCACCATTGTGATTTGTTCCTGCCCCACCCTAACTGATACGCTATATTCTCCCCTGCCCTTAAGAAGGTACTTTGTAATATTCTCCCCGCCCTTGAGAATGTACTTTTTATGCCTATCCCAAACCTGTAAGAACTAATGATAATCCCACCACCCTTTGCTGACTCATTTTTTGGACTCAGCCTGCCTGCATCCAGATGAAATAAACAACCTTGTTGCTCACACAAAGCCTGTTTGGTGGTCTCTTCACATGGACGTGTGTGACAATCTCATTGAGTTTTGAGTTGCATTTCTCTGATGATCAATGATGTTGAGCACGTTTTCATATACCTGTTTGCCTTTTGTAGATCTTCTTTGAAAGATGTCTATCAGATCTTTTGCCCATTTTTTAATTAGATTATTATATTTTTTCCTACTGTGTTATTTGGGCTCCTTACATATTCTGGTTATTAATCCCTTGTCAAATGGGTGTTTGCAAATATTTTCTCCCATTCTGTGGATTGTTGCTTCATTTTGGTGATTGTTTCTTTTGCTGTACAGAAGCTTTTTAACTTGATGTGATCCCATTTGCCCATTTTTGCTTAGGTTGCCTGTGCTTGTGGAGTATTACTCAAGAAATATTTTCCAAGTCCAATGTTCTGGAGAATTTCCTCAGTATTTTCTTTTAGTAGTTTCACAGTTTGAGATCTTAGATTTAAGTATTTAATCCCCACCCCCTTTTTTTTGTGAGACAAGGTCTGGCTTTATCGCCCTGTCTGCAGTACAGTACCATGATCTCAGTTCACTGCAACCTCTATCTCCCAGGCTCAAGCCATCCTCCCACCTCAGTCTCCCCAGTTCCTGGGACTACAGGCACATACACCATGCCCAGCTGTTTTTTGGGGTTTTTTTTGTTTGTTTGTTTTAGATGGGGTTTTGCCATGTTGTCCAGGCTGGCCTTGAACTCATGAGTTCAGGTGATCTGCCTGCCTTGGCCTCCTAAAGTGTTGGGATTACAGGCATGAGCCACCACACCCGGCCTCTTTAATCCATTTTGTATATGGTGAAAAACAGAAGGGTCTGGTTTCATTCTTCTGCATATGGATATACCATTTTCCCAGCATGATTTACTGAGGAGACTGTCCTTTCCCCAGTGAATGTTCTTGGCACTTTTGTCAAAAATGAGCTTAGTGTAGATATGTAGATTTATTCTTGGGTTCTTCATTCTGTTCCATTGTTCTATGTGTGTTTTCATGCCAGTACCATGCTGTTGTGGTTACCATATCTCTGTAGTATAATTTGAAGTCAGGTAATGTGATTTCTCCAGTTTTGTTCTTTTTGCTCTGGTTGACTTTTGCTATTCTGGGTATTTTGTGGTTCCATATAAACATTAGAATTATTTATTCTATTTCTGTGAAAAATGTCTAATATTTTTATAGGAATTGCATTGAATCTGTAGATTACTTTGGGTAGTATGGACATTTTAGCGATGTTGGTTCTTTCAATGCATTAACATGGAATATCTTTCCATTTTTTTGTATCCTCTTCAATTTCTTGCATCAGTGCTTTAGAGTTTTCATTGTAGAGATCGTTCACTTCTTCACATTTATTCCTAGGTATTTTATTTTATTTATAGCTATTGTAAATGAGATTACTTTCTTGATTTCTTTTTCAGGTTGTTCATTGTTGGCATACAGAAATGCAAATGATTTTTGTGTGTTGATTTTGTGTCCTGCAACTTTACTGAATGTGTTGATCAGTTCTAATAGCTTTTTGGTGGAGTTTTAGGTTTTTCCAAATATAAGATCATATCTGCAAACAAGGATAATTTGACGTCTTCCTTTCCAATTCAGATGCCTTTATTTATTTATCTTGTCCAATTGCTCTAGCTAGGACTTCCAGTACTATGTTGAATAACAGTGGTAAAAGTGAGCATCCTTGTCTTGTTCCAGATCTTAGAGTAAAGGATTTCAATTTTTGCCCATTCTGTATGATACTAACTGTGGGTCTGTCATATATGGCTTTTATTATGTTGAGGTATCTTCCTTCTATACCCAGTTTTTTGAGGGTTTTTCTAAATCATGAAGGGATGTGGAATTTTATCAAATACCTCTTCAGCATCAATGGAAATGATTGTGTGGCTTTTGTCCTTCACTCTGTTGATATGATGTATCACACTGATTTGCATATGCTGAATCATACTTGCATCCTTGGGATAAATCCCACTTGGTTATGATAAATGATGTTTTCAATGTGTTGTTGAATTTGTTTTGCTAACATTTTGCTGAGAATTTTTGCATCAGTATTCATCACAGATGTTGGCCTGTACTTTTGGTTTTTTTTTTTTTTTTTTTTTTTTTTGATATGACTTTGTCTGGTTTGGGTGTCAGGGTAATACTGGCCTTGTTGAATGAGTTTGGAAGTATTCCCTCATCCTCTATTTTCCAGAATAGTTTGAGTAGGATTGGTATTAGTTCTTTAAATGTTTGGTAAAATTCAACAGGGAAGCCATTGAGTCCCAGGCTTTTCTTTGCTCAGAGACTTTTTGTCATGGCATCCTGTTACTTGTTACTGGTCTATTAAGGTTTTGGATTTCTTCATGGTTCAATCTTGGTAGATTGTATGTGTTTAGGAATGTATCCACTTCTAGGTTTTCCAATTTATTGGCATATAGCTGCTCATAGTAGCCTCTAATGATCCTTTTAATTTGTTGATATCAATTGTAATGTCTCCTTTTTCATCTCTGACTTTATTTATTTGGGTCTTCTCTATTTTTTTCTTTTTTAGTCAGGCTAAAGACTTGCCAATTTTGTTTATCTTTTCAACAAAATGACTTTTAGTTTCATTGATCTTTTGTATTTCCTTCATTTCCATTTCATTTATTTTAGTTTCATTGATCTTTTGCATTTGCATTTTCTTCATTTCAATTTCATTTATTTCTGCCCTGATCTTTATTATTTCTTTATTTCTACTAATTTTGGGTTTGCTTCACTCTTGCATTTCTAGTTCTTTAAGATGCATCATTAGGTTGTTTATTTGAGGTTTTTCTACTTTTTTTGATGTAGATACTCAATACTGCTTTCACTGTATCCCATAGATTTTATTGTGTTGTGTTTCCATTTTCATTTGTTTCAAGAAATTTTTAAATTTCCTTCTTACTTTTTTTCATTAACCCACTAGTTATTCAGGGGCATATTGTTTAATTTCCATGTTTTGTATAGTTTTCAAAATTCTTCTTGTTATTGATTTCTAGTTTTATTCTTTGTGGTCACTGAAGACACTTGATATGATTTCAATTATTTTGAATATTTCAAGACCTGTTTTGTGGCCTAACATATGGTCTATCCTTGAGAATGATCCATGTGCTGAGGAGAAGACTGTGTATCTGCAGCTGCTGAATGAAATGTTCTTTTAAATATCTATTAGGTCCATTTGGTCTATAGTACAGATTAAGTCCAACGTTTCTTTGTTGATTTTCTGTCTGGATGCACTGTCCAATGCTGAAAGTGTAGTGTAGAAGTCTCCAGCAATTATTGTATTGAGGATATATTATTTTAGCTATAAAGATATTTGCAATATATATCTGAGTGCTCCACTGTTGGGTGCATATATACTTACAATTGCTATATCCTCTTGTTGAATTGATTTCTTTATTATTATATAATGTTCTTCTTTGTCTCTTTTTATAGTTTTGTCTTAAAATCTATGTAATGTGATATAAGTATAGCTATTCATACTCTTTTTTGGTTTCCATTTGCATGAAATATCTTTTTCGATTCCTTTAATTCACCTATTTATGTCTTTATAGGTGAAGTGTGTTTCTTGTAGGCAACAGATCTTGGGTCTAGTTTTTCTTTTTAATCCATTCAGCTGCTCCATGTCTTTTGACTGAAGTGTTTAGTCCATTTACATTCAATGTTATTATTGATAACTAAAGACTACTCCTGCCCTTTTGTTACTTGTTTACTGGTTGTTTTCTGGCCTTCTCTTCCTTCCTTCTTTCTTTTCTTCTTGTCTTCTTTTTACTGAAGCTGATTTTGTCTGGTGATATGTATTAATTTCTTACTTTTTATTTTTTGTGTATCTGTTGTATGTGTATGTTTTTGAGTTGATATTACCATGAGGCTTGGAAATAATATCTTATAACTCATTATTTTAAGCTGATGACAACTTAACACTGATTGTAATAACAAGCTAACAAACAAGCAAATATAAGGCTAATAGAAAAAAACTCTACACTTGAACTTCATCCCCCCACTTTTTAATTTTTTGTTGTTTCTATTGATACCTTATTATACTCTCAATGTCTTAAATGTTGCTTTAGGCTGGGTGCGGTGGCTCACACCAGTAATCTCAGCACTTTTGGAAGCCAAGGTGGGCAGATCACTGGAGCCCAAGAGTTCAAGACCAGCCTGGGCAACATGGCAAAAACTTGTCCCTCCTAAAAATACAAAAAATAGCCGGGTGTAGTGGTGTGCACCTGTAGTCCCAGCTACTCAGGAGGCTGAGGTGGGAGGATCACTTGAGCCAGGGAGGCAGAAGTTGCAGTGAGCCAAGGTCATGTCACTACACTCCAGGCCTGGACAACAAAGTAAGACCCCATCTCAAAAAAAAAAAGCATAGTTATTATTTTTTATATATTTTATAGGTTCTTCTTTTAGTCTTTCTACTCAAGATATAAGTGATTTACACACAATTTCAGGGGTTAGAATCTGTTTTTCTGTGTACTTACTATTAATAGTGAGATTTGTACCTTCAGATGATTTCTTACTGCTCATTAACATCCTTTTCTTTAAGATTGAAGAACTCCCTTTAGCCTTTAGCACTTCTTTCTTTTTTTATTTTTATTTATTTATTTGTTTTAAGATGGAGAGTCTCACTCTGTCACCCAGGCTGGAGTGCATGGCACAATCTCAGCTCACTGCAAACTCTGCCTCCCGGGTTCAAGTGATTCTCGAGCCTCAGCCTCCCAAGTAGCTGGGATTACAGTCATGCACCACCATGCCCTGCTAATTGTTGTATTTTTAGTGGAGACAGGTTTCACCATGTTGTCCAGGTTGGTCTCAAACTCCTGACCTCAAGTCCCTTTAGCATTTCTTATAGGACAGGTCTAGTGTTGATAAAATTGCTCAACTTTTGTTTGTCTGAGAAAGTATTTCTCCTTCATGTTTGAAGGGTATTTTCACTAGATATACTATTCTACGATAAAAGTTTTTTCCTTCAACACTTAAATACCACTCTCTCCCAGCCTGTAAGATTTCCCTCAAGAAGCCTACTGCCAGAAGTTTTGGAGCTCCCTTTTATGTTACTTATTTCTCTTCTCTTTCTGTTTTTAGGACCCTTTTTTTTATCCTTGACTTTTGGGAGTTTTTTTATTAAGTGTCTTGAGATAGTCTTATTTGGGTTAAATCTGCTTGGTTTCTGGAACCTTCTGGTATTTGAACACTGATATCTTTATCTAGGTTTGGGAAGTTCTCTGTAATTATCCCGTTGATAAAACTTTCTATCCTGATCTGTCTCTACCTTCTCTTAAGGCCAGTAACGCTTAGATTTGCCCTTTTGAGACTATTTTCTAGATCTTATAGGCATGTTTCATTCTTTCTCATTCTTTTTCTTTTGTCTCCTCTGACTCTGTATTTTCAAATAACCTGTCTTCAAGCTCAGTAATTCTTTCTTTGGCTTGGTCAATTCTGCTGTTAGGAGATTCTGATGCATTCTTTGGTGTGTCTATTTCATTTTTCAGCTCTGGAATTTCTGCTTAATTCTTTTTTATTATTTTGATCTCTTCATTAAATTTATGTGATAGGATTCTGAATTCCTTCTCTGAGTTATCTTGGATTTCACTGAGCTTCCTCAAAACAGCTATTTTGAATTCTCTGTCTGAAAGGTCCCTGTTTCTCCAGGATTGGTCCCTGGTGCCTTATTTGGTTGTTTGCTGAGGACATGTTTTCCTGAATTGTCTGACTGGCCCTGTGGCCTGAGTCACATTTCAGCTGAAGTCCCAGGCTGCTGCCAACACCTCCATGGCCTGGCAGTCTTCCACTGGAGTTCAAGTTACACTGCTCACCAGAGAATCACACGCATTCAGTGTGTGGACTCCATCCTCACAATCAGATGCTCAGTGTCCAAAATGCTGGGTAAGAAACATCCTGAAGAACACAAATCTGAGATACAGCCTCTTCCAGGCCTGCTCCAAGGCTCCAGACCAATGCATGAAGCACAGCCTGAGTCCACGTGCCTGAGGGAACAGACCTCCAAAGCCTACATTGGGAGCTTCCACCTGGCAAGGAAGGTGTGCTAAGGGCAGAGCTTCCGGCCTCCCTGTTATCTCAAATGTGGACCTATCACTGGGGCCCTAGTACTGGGCCCAATACTTGCCTCCACCCTTTGTCAATGCGAACATCCTTCCTCCTGGGGACAGAGATTTAGAGGTTGACTTTAGAAAAAGCCACTCTCTATAGATATTTTGAAGCAGCAAGTCCCCCCAGCTTCAAATTTTGTGCTGGCTGAGGCAGCCCAGCCTGGTTGGTGACTAGAATGGCCTGAACTGGGAGTCATGGAAACTGACTCAGAGTCATGGAAAGTTGGGGCTGAAAGGGGAAGAAGAGGTCATGCACCATCCGTCTTGCAGCTATAAAAACTAAGGTTTAGGTTGGTGAGGGGGTGTACCCGAAGGATGACTCAAAGGGTACTTCACGGGTAAAGGAACTCAGCTCAAATAAGGTGACTCAAGTCTATTTACAGCCTTGTCCAGTGTGGACTCAAGAATAGCCTGGCCTACCACCCTGAGCTGTCAGGGAGGACAGATGAGATGGACATTGTGAAAATGGGGTACTGCCAGCCTTTAAAATGCGGCGAGTGCACAAGTCACGCAGTGCTGTTATCAACTCATGATATAAGTTCCTCTTCCCTCCCCCGACTGCCTGTGTTGAGTCTCAAATTCATCCCACTGCAGGGAGGTCAGAAAAAGTTCAGAACTTCTTTCTGACCTCCCTCTTGTGGGATTTAATGAGGACATGAAGTGGTGACATTGAGGTGGGAGTTAAGGAGAATGTGCTGGGCTTGGGGCCCAGCAGATGGACATATGTTACCTGTGCCCCTGGGGATGATTCTACCTTCTAAAATGGGCCATGGAAACCTGGTTTCATGTGGTTGGGTCAATCCCCCCAGTGCTTCTGAGGTTGATGAGTTAAACGATGCAAAGGCCATGGTTGGGAGATCTCCTCTTGGGATACGACTTTGGTGAATTTACCTGGGTCTGGTCCTCATTCCTGCAAATCTAGAACCCGACCACCATCCAGACAAGAAGAGAGACTGAGACCCTACAATAACTCAAGTGATTTATTTTGGGGACACTCCTTTCCAGGAAGCTGAATGCTTGTGACCCTCATCTGTTTTTCTGATTTCAGCTGCCTGGGAGGTTGCCTGAGCAGGCAGGAGGCAGCTCATGGGCATGGACTTGAACTGATGCCTCGAATGGCCTGCCTGGCCTTTGTCTTTCTTTATGTTCCATTACCAAATATTCTGCTCCTGGAATCACAGCCTTTGTTTTTATTTATTTATTTATTTATTTATTTATTTATTATTTTAAATGTTTTATAGAGATGGGGGGTCTTGCCAGTACAGGCTGGTCTCAAATTCCTGGGCTCAAGCAAACATCCTGCCTCAGCCTCCCAAAATGCTGGGATTACACAACAATGCCCTAAAATAAGACTTTCAGGTGAAGCTTATGCATGTCTTTCCTGCTTGGTGAGTAGGGTATGATTAGAGTTGGATTTTTCCATCCCATATTCACTCTACAGAATCAATTTAGTGTTCTGCTTATCTATGGGACATTGATGTCATGTGATGGGTGATGTCATGTGATGGGTGATGTCATGTGATGGGTGATGTCATGTGATGTGTGATGTCATGTGATGGGTGATGTCATGTGATGCATGATGTCATGTGATGGGTGATGTCATGTGATGGGTGATGCCATGTGATGGGTTATGTCATGTGATGGGTGATGCCATGTGACAGGTGGTCATGTGACAAGGTGATCCTGTGATGAGTGGTCATGTGATGGGTGATGTCATGTGATGGGTGATGGGATGGGCGATGTCATGTGATGGGTGATCATGTGACAGGTGATGTCATGTGATGGGTGGTCATGTGATGGGTGATATGTAATGGGTGATGTCATGTGGGGGTGGTCATGTGATAGGTGATGTCATGTGATCGACGATCATGTGATGGGTGATGTCATGTGATGGGTGATGTCATGTGATGGGTGATCATGTGACAAGTGATCATGTGATGGGTGATGTCATATCATGGGTGATGTCATGTGACAGGTGATCATGTGACAGGTGATCATGTGATGGGTGATGTCATGTGATGGGTGATGCCATGTGACATGTGGTCATGTGACAGGTGATGTCATGTGATGGGTGATCATGTGATGAGTGATGTCATGTGATGGGTGATGTCATGTGATAGGTGATCATGTGATGAGTGATGTCATGTGACAGGGATGTCATGTGATGGGTGATCATGTGATGGGTGCTGTCATGTAATGGGTGGTCATGTGATGGGTGATGTCATGTGATGGGTGATGTGATGGGCAATCATGTGATGGGTGATGTGATGGTGATCATGTGACAGGTGATGTCATGTGATGGGTGGTCATGTGATGGGTGATATCATGTAATGGGTGATGTCATGCGGGGGTGGTCATGTGATAGGTGATGTCATGTGATGGGTGATCATGTGATGGGTGATGTCACGTGATGGGTGATATCACATGATGGGCGACATCACGTGATGGGCGATCATATGATGGGTGATGTCATGTGATGGGCAATATCACGTGATGGGCGACATCACGTGATGGGCAATCATGTGATGGGTGATGTCACATCATGGGTGATCATGTGATGGGTGATTGATGTCATATGATTCCAGGGGGAGCACCTGTTCACCAAGCAGGGGAGAGGCTGTGAGTTCTCTGCCACGCTGGTAACACAATCTCTACTGGGGCTTCCTAGTGCTGACTGCTGCAGGTGGCTCATCATAGCACACCAAGGGCCACCACAGGGACACATTACCAAAGGAAACCCCAGAAGACACAAAACATCCCCTTCTTCCTCCATAAACTTGGGAGCCAGATGTTGGGTGACATCGTTCACCATCTCTGGCTGCTCTGGCCTTGCTGGAACCCCCTGTTTTCTCTTTCTCCTCTTGCATCATGATAAATGGCCGATCATTAATGGATGAAAAGTGGTGTCTCTGACACAAAGGCTCAACGAGGCGTCTCTGTCAAAGGGTCACACTAGATTCTATATCCACACACAGGAGACCTCTGGACTGGGGACCCTGAGCAGTGCCTTGGAGAATTCTGCAGCTTCCTGCTCTCAGGCCTGTGGCCCCATCTCTCCTTGATTGATGCCCCCAAGGATGCCCTGAGGTTAGAACACTCCCTCCGTGGGTGTGTTCTTGAGGCCACCCAAAGTGGGGAGCTGTGTCTGAGACTCCACTTACGGCCAGAATACTCAAAGGCGTTATCTCCCAGGTAAAATGGTGGACCAGAAACTACCTGCTTGTGAGTAAGTAAGGAAGGAGAGCCAAGGTAAAGCCATTAGCATTTGCAGACCAGTTGTTCCCTGACAAACATAGATTTAGAACAGAAATTGGCAGCTAAATAAAGTTTAGTACTTGTATTACTCAGGGTTCTCTAGAGGGACAGAACTAATAGGAGATATATATATATATATGAAGGGGAGTTTATTAGGAAAATGAACTCACACAATCACAAGGTAAAGTCCCACAATAGGCTGTTTGCAAGCTGAGGAGCCAGGAAGCCAGTCCAAGTACCAAAACCTCAAAGGTACGGAAGCTGACAGAGCAACCTTCAGTCTGTAGCTGAAAGCCCAAGAGCCCCTGGCAAATCACTGGTGTAAGTCCAAGAGTCCAGAAGCTGAAGAACTTGGAGTCCGATGTTCAAGGGCAGGAAGCATTTACCATGGGAGAAAGGTGGAGGCTGGAAGACTTAGCCAATCTAGTCTTTCATGTTCTTCTGCCTACTTTTATTCTGGCCACACTGGCAGCTGATTGGATGGTGCCCACCCGGATTGAGGGTGGGTCTGCCTTTCCCATTCCACTGACTCAAACGTTAATCTCCTTTGACAATACCCTCACAGACACACCCAGGAACAATACTTTGCATCCTTCAATCTGATCAAGTTGACATTCAGTATTAACCATCAAAGTACTTTTTTTTTTTTTGGCCAGTGGTACAGTTGCCTGGGTTAGTACTGAGACAAAAGGATGATGGTGGGGGATGCTGGCTTGCACAGGACTTCAGCTGTGAGGAGCCTGTGTCCTCGCGGAGGCTTCTGTTTGCAGAAAGAAAGTTGCCATGGCCCTGGAGGAGATGGAGCTGAGAAGCTGAGGAGGGGGAGAAAGGGTCAAGTTCCTGATGCTGCAGCCCACAGAGACCCCTCCAACCTGCCTCAGGAGAGGGTGTGAGGGCAGGAGCTTGTTGTGTTCACAAAGATGGAGGCACAGTGGTCTAGAAAGACCCAGGAGGAGGCTCAGAATGGAGCGGGGTCCAGCAAGACTTCTGCAACAGGCGTTTTTGTCTCCTCCTACCCAACTCCACTCCAGGATGGAGCCATCACCAGGTCTGGCCATCCACCCTTCCAAATGTGAATCAGGGGAGGATAGTCCCAGCTGGAAGCTGGTCCCAATCACCTTGTCAGTAATTAAGCTAGGGGTGGTCACCAGAGTCTGAAGCAGCCAATGAGACATTGAGGGGATGTGATGGGGGTGGGGACTCTGGGAAACTTCTGGGATCAGTGGTCTGGTTTTCTTCCTCAGAAGTCCTTGTGTCTGGTGTCTGGGCTGATCTCTCTCTGCTGCCTACTTCAGAGATCTCTCTCTGCTGCCTTAGGATGAAGACAGTTCTGAGGCCATGACCACAGAGCAAGAAGGAACTTGTATCAACCAATTCCAAGGACACCACCAAGGCCAAACAAACAAACCAAAAGCCCCAAATCAGCAATTAACAGTGAAACAAGAGAGGAAGCAGTGGCTGCCATGATCAGTGGCTGACCTTACAGAGAGGCTAGTATTTAGGGGATGAACTGCAGGGCTTGGGGGAGCAATAGGCTTAGACCACCCAAAATGGGCGCTGTGTCTGAGACTCCACTTAACGATCAGAATACTCAAAGGCACTACCTCCCAGATAAAATCTTGGACTAGAAACTACCTACTTGCGAGTAAGGGAAATGATTTTTTAAAAAAATAGTAATAATTGAAAAACTGGAAATTCATATGCAAAAGAATGACACTGGAGCCTTCCCTAATAACATAGACAAAAATTAACTCAAATGGATCAAAGACCTAAATGTAGGATCTAAAACCATAAAACTCTTAGAAGAAAACACAAGGCAAAAGTTTCACAGCATTGGATTTGCCAGTGATTTCATAGACATGATGCTGAGGGGACAGGCAACAACAACAACAACACAGACAAATGGAACTTCATGAAAATTTAAATTATGTGTTTTTGACTCATATCTTTTTTTTTTTAAGAGATGGGGGTTTTGCTATGCTGCCCAGGCTGAAATGCAGTGGCTATTTACTGGCATGATCATGGCGCACCACAGCCTCAAACTCCTGAGTCCAAGTGATCCTCTCACCTCTGCCTCCTGAGTAGCCAGGATTACAGGTGCAAACCACCATGTCTGGCTAAAATTTCAAAATTTGTGCACCAAATGACAATATCAACAGAGTAAAAAGGCAACTCACACAATGGGATAAAATATTTGCAAATTACATATCTGATAAGGAATTATATCCCAAATATAGACAGAACTCCTAAAACAATAAAAAAAAAAAAGGCCCGATTAAATGGGCAAAGGACTTGACATTTCTCCAGAAGAAATCTACAAATAGCCAATAAATACATGAAAAGATGCTCAACACCACTCATTATCAGGAAAATGCAAATCAAAACCACAATGGGATATCACTTCACACCTGTTAGAATAGCCATTGTGTGTGTGTATATATGTGTGTATAAAAACATGTATAAAACAACAGAAACAACAAATGCTGGTGAGAATGTGTATATATATATGTATAGAAACAACATGTATAAAACAACAGAAAACAACAAATGCTGGTGAGAATGTGGAGACACTAGAACCCTTGTGCACTATTGGTGGGGAGGTAAAATGGTGTAGCTGCTATTATGGGAAATAGTATTGAGGTTACTCAAAAAATTAAAAATAGAACTATCATATGATCCAGAAGTCCCACTTCTGGGTATTTATCCAGAAAAACTGAAAACAGGATTGCAAAGTGCTATCTGCATGCCTATGTTCATTGGAAGCAGCATTATTCACAATAACCAAGAGATGGAAACAGCCTAAACGTCCATCAATGGATGAATGGATAAAGAAAGTGTGATATGTACATACAATGTGATGCGGTTTGGCTCTGTGTCCCCACCCAAATCTCATCGTGTAGCTCCCATAATTCCCACATGTTGTAGGAGGGACCTGGTGGGAGATGACTGAATCATGAGGGCAGGGCTTCCCCGTGCTGTTCTGGTGGTAGTGAATGGGTCTCATGAGATCTGATGGTTTTATAAACGGGAGTCTCCCTGCAGAAGCTCTCTCTCTTTGCCTGCTGCCATCCATGTAAGATGTGACTTGCTCCTCCTTGCCTTCCACCATGATTGTAAGGCCTCCCCAGCCATGTGGAACTGTAAGTCCAATAAACCTCTTTCTTTTGTAAATTGCCCAGTCTTGGGTATGTGTTTATCGGCAGTGTGAAAACAGGCTAATACACAATGGAATAATATTTTAGTGGGGGATGAGAACAAAATATTTTATAGTGTGCTTGAAAGTAGGCTGAGAACACAGTTTTTTCTTCTATTTATTTTCTTTTAAAAATTATTACTATTTTTAATTGACACATAATCAGACATTTATGGGGCACATTGTGATATTTTGATACATGTATATAATGTGTAATGATCAAATAAGGGTAATCAGCATATCCATCACCTCACTTTTGTGTTGGAAACATTCAAAATCTACTCTTCTAGCTATTTGAAAATATACAATAAGTTGTTGACAATTATAGACATCCCCTAGTGCTATAGCACACGAGGATTTATTCTGCCTATGCAGCTGTACTTTTGTATCTGTTAACAAATCTCTGGCTATCCCCTAACCCCCAACACACTGCCCCACCTCTAATAACCACTGTTCTATTCTCTATGTCTTGAGATCAACTTGAGAACATGCAGTATTTCTCTTTCTGGGCCTGACTTATTTCATTCACATAACGTCCTCCAAGCTCATCCATGTTGCCACAAATGATAGAATTTTGTTCTTTTTTTTTTTTTTAAACGGTGTCTTGCTCTGTCGCCAGGCTGAAGTGCAGTGGCAGGATCTTGGCTCACTGCAACCTCCACCTCCTGGGTTCAAGCGATTCTCCTGCCTCAGCCTCCTGAGTAGCTGGGACTACAGGCACACACTAACAGGCCCAGCTAATTTTTGCATTTTTAGTAGAGACAGGGTTTCACCATGTTGGCCAGGATGGTCTTGATCTCTTGATCTCGTGATCCGCCTGCCTCGGCCTCCCAAAGTGCTGGGATTACAGGCGTGAGCCACCGCGCCCAGTCGAATTTTGTTCTTTCTTACATCTAAACAGTATTCCATTATGTATATGTGCCACGTATTCTTTATCTTACAATGGAATATAATTTTATTCAGCCTTAACAAAGAAGGAAATCCTGCCGTATTCAACAACATGGATGCATCTTGAGGACATTATGCTAACTAAAATAAGACAGTCACAGGTTAAAGGCTGCATGGTTCTGGTTACATGAGGTAACTAAACTAGTCACACTCATAGAAGCAAAAAGTAAAATAGTGGCAGCCGGGGGCTGGTGGAGGAGTGGGAGGGAGAGTTGCTACTCAATGGGCATGATTTAGTCATGCAAGGTGAGAAAGTTCTAGAACTCTGCTGTACAACAATGTGCATATAATTAATCATATTTTACCACACACCTAAGAGTTTGTTAAGAGGGCAGATTTCATGTTAGGTGTTTTTTGTTTGTTCATTTTTTACCACAATTTTTAAAAAGGGGAAGAAGAAGGAACCCATGTCTGCCTCTCTGGTGAGGGCCCTTCCCGCTGCTATCTCTTTACTGCCCCTAGCCAGCTGCCCTCGGCTCTGAACTTCCTCTGTGGCTATGCAGTTGTTCAGAAGTAAAGGCCTGTGGGAAGGGCCTCATGGGGAAGGAAAAGCTGTGCTTTTTTCTTAAAAGAGCAAGATCCACACCTGCCCACTAACTTTTTTTTTTTTTTTGAGACAGAGTTTCGCTCTGTCCTCTGTCACCCAGGCTGAAGTGCAATGGCACCATCTCGTCTCACTGCAACCTCCACTTCCCGGGTTCAAGTGATCCTCCTGCCTCAGCCTCCTGAGTAGCTGGGACTACAGGTGTACACCACCACACCCAGCTAATTGCTGTATTTTTAGTAGAGACAGCAGTTTTGCCATGTTGGCCAGGCTGGTCTTGAACTCCTGACCTCAGGTGATCCACCTGCCTCAGCCTCCCAAAGGTCTGGGATTACAGGCGGGAGCCACCATGCCCGGCCTCACTAACTTTTGGTTCCATTAAGTGTGAAAATCAGCATATGCCGAATCCTCATGGTCTGTGGCTATTTAAGGGCATGACGGCTTTGGCTCCAAGCTCCCAATGGAAACATATTTGCTGGAAAATGCAATGCCAGCACTAGTGACTCATTTATTGACTTCCGTCTTTCTCCCTACCCCAGAGAATGGGCGTATTAGGCAAGCCTTGCTTGTCAGCTTGTGTTGGAACCCCAAGGGGTATTCCTAGAGATGTGTACAAGGGGTGGTGGTGTAAGGGCGTGCGCGGTGGGTGGTAGTTGGGCAGACAGACAATAGATGCCTACTTTACTCCAGTGGATTCTCCTTAACAGAGCCACGAGAATAACAACCCAGCCACACTAGCTCCAGAGAGATTGACGGATTCATTGAATATCAACAGGAAGAAACGGTGGGAAAAGAATGACATCACGTTGACAAGCGCCCATGTCCCCTCGCCCCTGAGTCCAGCTGGTGAAGCACCATGCTTTGGCTTTCCCTCCCGCGGAGCGGTGCCGTCCTCCCTGGGTCTGGTCGGATCTTCGGGAAGCTGGATCCAGGAAAGCATTCCAGGAGGTAGGGCCCTGGGGCTGGTGGACTGTGGGTCTTGGTCCCTCACAGAATGACTCAGGGGATCTTAGCCGGGCTCGAACTCTCCTCTCTGGCCATTATGGAATTTTCAGGCCCATCATTGGCCAGAGACCTAAATTCAGTTCAAAGTCAGAGAAAGTTTCTCTTTGGCTGAAGGACAAGAAGAGGGGAGGCTCTGGGTGCCATGCTAGGGACCAGAGGGTCCCCTCTCCTTTATCCACTGCTGACAGTCAGTACTCCCTATTAGAACCAAGAGCAGGTTGGAGGCGTCCTCATGGGTGTTCAAAGGGCAACATGCCGAACATGTGTGGTGTGTTTGCTTGTGGGCAGGTGGGGGCGGGAGCACATCTCACATGGGAAGGTCCCTTTGGTGTGAGGGTCCCTCAACCATACAGCACAAAGTGACCACATTCAAGGGCCTCATCGCCGTGGGTGAAGCCTGTGAGGAGACAGAACCACTTCCCTAGGACAGTTTTCATTAGTAACATGATTTCAACATCACCGAAAAGGGAGGGTGCCATTTCCTGCGATGGTTTTCGTTACTGCCCTCCCCACCTGGAGGTGGTTCTTGAGGCCTGACAGGCTCTTTTGGGGAGGAGACCCAAGCTGTCATGCTGAGGAGGCTCCCAAGCTGCAGCCCCTCGGAGGTGGGGGAATAGGCAGGGAGCTTGGGGAGCTAGGAGGAGGAAGAGGTGGGAGGGGGAGGACAAGCACCGGGCCGGGCCAGGGAGGTTCCCATTGCCTCCTCAGCCCTGTGGACTCAGAGCCATGTCCTCCCTGGGGACAGGGTCCATCCAGCCCCTCATGCCCTAGAACCAGGAACTCATCCCAGAATCACCCTCCTTGTGTGTGGGATCAGAGAGGTTTCCTATGAACATAAGTCATTAAAACCCAACTTTGCTAGAAAAAAAAAAATTTAAAAACACGGATATATCAGGTTCTCAGGCAAAGACGGTGTTGAGTTGGTCTCCGGAATGATGGAAGTCTAGGGCTGGGGGGGTCTCCCCCAACCTCTTTCTGTACTTTGGTCCCATGCTCTGTGCCCGAGTTATTCCAGCAGTGGGGACAGAGTCGTCCAGTGCTTGAGCTCCATCTCTACAGCTCCTGACCAAGAGAACAGGTGCTGGCACCCCAGGAGGTGATGGTGGCTCAGGAGAGGACCTGGCTAAGTCCCTGAGCTGTGCAGAACAGGGAGGTGCCCACCAGCTCCAAGGCCAGGGCGGAGGCCCAGGGCCCCTATCTCAGTCACTGCATCCCGAGGACTCGTAGATGTTCCTTCCACAGCCCGAGTCTCTTCTGGAAACGTGGCCAGGGCAGGAAGGCTCTGCAGATCCATCTCTCTAAGTGGCCATGTCTTTAGTCAGAGGTTCGGAGAAGTTCATGTAGATAGGCTGTTCCCCTGGCTCCTCAGGGACCCTCTGAGACCCCTTCAACCAGAGGATGGCAGTGACCAAGATGAGCAAGATGGGCACCTTCACAAATACCAGGAGCATGTAGTGGTTCCTGGGGAAGGGGATGCAGTGGTCAGAGCCCTGGGCATCCCCAGGCCATGTCACTCCCATCCCCTGACCCTGTGAGCCACCAGCCAAAGCCTGTGACCCTGGGCCGGGCAGCCCCACTCTGAAGATTCCTGTAAACCTCCTCCTTGGTTCAACCTCAAGGGGTCCTCCAACAGTCACCTTGGCTGGTTTTGCACGGGGCCCATCTTCCTTTCTAACATCACCTTCTGGGACCCTCTTTGCCCAAAGTACATCTCAGCTCAACAGAAGCGCCAGAGGTCACCAAATACAGGTTGTGTTTCCTGCCTCTGTTCCTGCTAATGCTAGCTCCAGGCTGGTAAATCACCCTTCCTGTTCTGTGTCCCTTGATGTCTTGCACCACAGAGGGTGGTATCTTATCTCCCCCTGGCACCCATTAGGCCACCAATGCAAGGTTGACTGATTGACTGGGAGAATGATGCTCACTGAGAAGAGTTCTGCAGAGCGGTTTTCTGGTGAGAGCTAGAGTGGGGAGATGGTGGATTGCAGTGATGGGGGCAGGAGAGAGATGGAGGGTGGGCTTGGGGCCTTGACTCTGGCTAGAACAGGTGCTGGCATTTGGTGACAGGCAGGAGTTCCCAGGCTTGGCTTCCCCTTAGGAGGGACCCCAGGTAGGGGCAGGAGAAAGAACCACATGACTCACCTCTTGTGGGAGCCGATGAACACTGCCATATTGCTGTTGGTAGGTGAGCTTGCTGTTGTGGAAGCCGCTCCCTCTAGACACAGGCAAAGTCAGCCATGGGTTATTAGCACAGTTGGGAGCTCATGCATGGGTCACAAAGCCACGCGACCCTGCCAGCCCTCACCAGAAGACCCTTTTCCCTGGAGTAGGAGGATTTTTCTCTCCTGCTACAGCCCCTCATGCTTCTACTGAGTCACTTCAATCTCAACACACAGACATTTTTCCTCATCATGTTCAGATGTGGCAAGAAAAATTAAAAATTAAACAGGAGTAAACACTGTAGTTTATTCTGGGAGAGAGAGGTTTTTTCATACTTTCTTTCCACCTATCCTGCAAGTGGGACTATTGGATGGGGAAATAAATTTCTGGTCTTTTCCACTGGAGTGGTGCCTGAGCAGGGCTTAAGGAGAGAAGATTCTGGAAATGGGCTGTCCAGAAATTGGGGTAGTCCAGAAAAAGGGAAAGGGGACTCCAGAAGGCTCATGAAGAAAAGGGCACACTCCAGTTAACTAGAGAACATCGACTATGAGAAACGGAACATTTTTAGGAGCAACCATATAGGCAATTTGTTGGGGGCAGTCTGGTCAGGGGGGCCCTGAGCCCAGCCCAGCACTGAGTATCCATGACCCAACAGTGATCTTTTATTTCAGTCCTCGGCCCCAGCAAATTTTTCTCAAAGGTCCCAGGCTGTCCAGGCACGGTGGTTCACGCCTGTAATCCCAGCACTTTGGAAGACCAAGGGAGGCAGATCGCTTGAGGCCAGGAGTTTGAAACCAGCCTGGGCAACATGGTGAAATCCCATCTCTACAAAAAATACAAAATGAACCAGGCGTGGTCATGTGCCCCTGTAGTCCCAGCTACTCAGGAAGCTGAAGTGGAAGGATTGATTGAGCCCAGGAGGTCGAGGCTGCAGTGAGTCAAGTTCACCCCACTGCACTCCAGCCTGGGCTACAGACTGAAACCCTGTCTCAAAAAACAAACAAAACAAAATAAAACAAAACAAAACAAAAAAGTCCCAGGCTTTGGCCACACTAGGTGGGCTCCTGTCTGAGCTGCAGGTAATTCCAATCACAACAGTTCCTATGGAGCCCCTGATCGTTTTACAGGCTGGTACCCCTGTAGATCCCCCACCCAAGACTCCGGAACATCTCTCTCCCTAAAGCTCCACACTGGCCACTGTTTTTTGTCTCTTTGTACCGCCTGCATGTCTTGCTCAATCCCCTCTCTGCCCCCATAGATATTCTGGGTTTCCCCTACTTGGCAGCCCTGGGGAAGTCTTGCTTGACCCTTTCTGGACTCCTCTTTACTCAGCTGCAGCCACTGTGTCCATGTGCCTCTTTGGTCCCAACCCCAACAGTACACAGGCTTGTTCTAAAGCCGGCATTGTCTATTTCCACATCACCACCAAATGGACCCGAGTGGACACTGAGCTGATGAAGTACTGAGTAGGGGTGTGCGGGTGGAAGTGGGGGTTGGGGGCTGCTTCCCAGACTCCAGCAACAGCAGCAGGATGACCCCAGAGTCTATCAGTAGAGTCCAAGGCATGGAGGAGAAGCCAGGGCACCCAGAGTGGTCCCTGACGTTGCCCGTGATGGAAGCCATCCTTTTGCTTTAAAGCGTCCACTGTCACCCATGCACCTCCCTGGGGCTTTCTTACCCCGTGCTCATCTTACACAGCCAGATAAAGTAGCGGAGCAGGTGGCTGGGGACCTAGAGAGGAGGGTGTTGTAAGACACCCAGAGCTACTCTGGGTTGGTGCAGTTAGTGGGACTCAATACTAGGACCCCCTGGGCAGCTCTAGGTTCCTTCTCTGCCATGTCATGAGCAGGGCTGGGCCACCAGTCACCAAAGCTGAGGTCCCCATTCCCACCCCCATCCCAAGCCCCACCTGGATTCCTTGGAGAGACCTCAGGGACTGAGATAGCAGAGCGATGCTGGCCACCACTCTCCCTTAGTTTCTGTCACCTCCTTCCCAGTCAGTTTGTCTGCCTGTCTGTCTGTCTGTCTCTCTCTCTCTCTCTCTTAGGCTCACCATCATTCCCTTTCAGCCTTGGAGGGGAGCAGGTAAGAGCACTGACTTTCCCAGCCCTGAGCTCCAGGGCCTCCTTGTGTAGATGAGAAAGTTCTTACCTGGGTCAACGATCACTTTCACTTGAGTCCCAAGGTCAGGTCCTCTTCTTTCAATCCCACACCAGTAAACATCTGCGTCATCTCGCCTGAGCCCCTCCATGGTCACAGTGAACGTGCGGTCTTTCTGATTGTCCTTGATGGACACACGGTCACTCTTCTCTCCTTGCTCCGACCCTCTGGTTTCAATGAGGATCTTGCATGTATCCCAGCGCACCCCTCGGCACCACCACTTAATGTAGGTCTCCCATCCTTGCTTATAGTGGCATTGAACCGTCAGGGACCCCTGCTCTGGGGCTCTCACAGACTCTGGGCCTTGGATGGAGAAACAGCCTGGAAAACAGAATCCCAAGATACAGCTCATTGCACCGGCACGAACCCCTGCTCTGGGGCTCTCACGGACTCTGGGCCTTGGATGGAGAAACAGCCTGGAAAACAAAATCCCAAGATACAGCTCCTGTTGCCTGAGCCAGTTTGGTGTTTAAGAGTCCCGAGTGTGTCTCTAGCACACCCGATTCCTCATCCCCATCTCCCTCTCAGTCCATTCCCCCACCAGCTTCTAGACCTGCTTAGCATGTGACACCATGGTCTCCTACCACCTTCTTTCCTTGTCCTCTCAATGCTGTTTTCATCGGAGCCAAATATTTAACAACCAGCCCTCTGGGGGAAAAAATCTCTGGTTTAGGAGCTGGGCACGGTGGCTCACACTTGTAATCCCAGCACTTTGGGAAGCCAAGGTGGGCAGATCACCTGAGGTCAGGAGTTCGAGACCTGCATGGCCAACATGGTGAAACCCAGTCTTTACTAAAAATACAAAAATTAGCTGGGCGTGGTGGCAGTCACCTGTAGTCTCAGCTATGCGGGAGGCTGAAGCATGAAAATTGCTTGAACCCGGGAGGCGGAGGTTGCAGTGAGCTGAGATCGCACCACTGCACTCCAGCCTAGGCAACAGAGTGAGACTCTTGTCTAGAAAAAGAAAAAGAAAAAAAATCTGGTTTTAATATTTGCCAAATTCCATAGTGTAAATACTCCCACGGTGGCAGATGTCAGGTAATCCATGTGATGTCACTGGACACAGAGCTGGGAAAAGATGTCCCAAGCCAGCTCCTGTGAGCCAGCCCCAGCACACTGCGGGGGTACCCAGGGTTCCCTCTCCAGCCTTCATCTTGTCTCACCTGACAAGCCTCCATGGAGGGAGTCTCTCCATTTCCATGGCTTTAATGATTACCTGTTTCCTGATGATTCCCAAATCCATATTTGCAGCTCAGACTCCCCTTAGCTAGCCCACCATTTACAAAGACACACTGGATGTCTCCACCCCAGATTCCTTCGTTGCAGAATTGAATGCACTTCCTCTCCCACCCTGAACTACTCTTCTTCAGTATTTTTTTCTAGTGGAGCAATTGGATGTGGCAAGAGTAACAAAGGCCTGGTGAAAGCTGAACAGGTTAGAGGTGAGCATAATCAAATGGCAGTCCGTGCCTCCGCTGATTGACTCCAGTTAGGCTGTGTGTAGATAGGCTCTTTCCTTGGCAATGACACGGGTTTCTTGATCACGCAGAAGTGGATAAACAGGCAGAGAATCACAGGGGAAGCCTCTCTTGACTGTCTCTTGGCCTCAGAGCTTCAGGCCCAGGCCAGGGGTCTCTGCAGGGTGGAGAAAGCCAGGTCTATTTCTCCAGGCAGATGCCGCCTCCTCACAGCTTGGGCCTTCTCCTTGAAGCTGTGTTAGTTTTCTTGAACTTTGCATTCGTGGTTGGTAGAATAATGTCCCCCATAGCTGTTGGCATCCTCATACACAGAACCTGCGAATATGTCCCCTGACATGGCCAGAGGGACTCTGCCGATGTGATGAAGTTAAGGACCTTGAGACAGGAAGAATATCCCGAATAATCTCCATGGATATTCTAAGTGAAAGAGGGTTGAGGGAGAGTCCAATTGGAAGATGGTCTGTTGCTGCTTTGAAGTGGAAGAAGAGGCCACCGGCCAAGGAAAGCAGATGGCTTCTAGAAGCTGGAAAATGCAGGGAAACAGATTCTCCCCTAGAATAGGGGTTCCCAACCCCAGGACAACAGACTAGTAACAGCCCATGGCCTGTTAGGAACCGGACCTTACAGCAGGAGGTGAGCGGTGGGCAAGCAAGCGAAGCTTCATCTGTATTTACAGCCACTCCCCGTTGTTCAAACTACCACCTGATCTCCGCCTCCCATCAGACCAGCGGCCGCATTAGATTCTCATAGAAGTGAGAACCCTATTGTGAACTTCGTGTGTGAGGGATCTAGATTGCACACACTTTATGAGACTCTAATGCCTGATGATGTGTCACTGTCTCCCATCACCCCCAGATGGGATCATCTAGTTGCAGGTAAACAAGCTTAGGGCTCCCACTGATTCTACATTATGGTGCAGTGTATAATCATTTCATTATATATTATAATATAATAGTAATATAAAGTATACAATAAGTGTAATGCGTTTGAATCATCCCAAACCATCCTCACCCCACTCCTGATGTGGAAAAATTGTCTTCCACAAAACCGGATCCTGGTGCCAAAAAGGTTGGGGACCACTGCTCTAAAGAAACCCAACCCTACTTGCACCTCAATTTTAACCAGTAAGACCACGCCAGGCTCTGGTCTTCAGAAGCATCAATGAGATGATGAAATTGTGCAGTTCTAAGCCATAGAGTTCATGTTAATTTGTTACAGCAGCCACTGGAAATTCACATGGCATTCAATCAGCAGAACCAACTTGATTCTCTTCAAACCAGCAGCTCCACCACCCAGCCTTCAGGAAGAGCTTGGCATCTTCTTTCATGCTGTCCTCTCCTTCAGCCCCCGAGCTGATTGGTAGCCAGTTTAGTCAGCTCTATCCTAGAGATGCTCCTCAGTTTTTTTTTTTCTTCTTTCAGTCTCTGCCATCGCAGGCCACAAGGACAGCATGACATCAGAGAGAGTGTGAGCTTTGATGCAGAAAGACTTGACACTGAACTAGTTGGGAAACCCTGGCAGAGTTGCTTAACCTCTGCAAGTATCGCTTCCTTATTCATAAGACAGTCATGCTACGCTCTACTTTGAAGGTGGTAATAGGACTTGGATGTGTGTAGGCTGGGCAAGGTGGCTCATGCCTGTAATTCCAAAGCTGTGGGAGGCTGAGGCAGGAGGATCGCTTGAGCCCAGGAGTTCCAGACTAACCTGGGCAACATGGTGAAACCCTGTGTCTGCAAATGCAAAAGATTAGCCAGGAGTGGTGGTGCATGCCTGTGGTCCCCACTGCTTGGGGGGCTGAGGTGGGAGGATCGCCTGAGCCTGAGAGTTCAAGGCTGCAGTGAGTTATAATCGCCCACCACTGCACTTCAGCCTGGGTGACAGAGTGAGACACTGTCTTCAAAAAATTATTTATTTTTAAATTTAAAAGAAGACTTGGATGTATGTCCAACGCCAGACATTTGGGGTTTGCTCTGTCAGTGACAGCTCATCAACAGGTCAGAACTTCATCTGTGCCTGGATCATGGCAGTGGCATCTGGAGAGGTCTTCCCAGCCCCAGCAGCATCCTCCCCAACTCTCCTCTCCTGAGGATTATGGCCTTCATAATCTTGTCTTTTGTGTTTCCAACCTCATATCCAACTCGCCACCCCCAAGATGTCCTGCACACTGACAGCTCCCTCAGCTTTCCTCTCCATACTGCTGCCTGAGTTGGGTACTGAGACTGTCTCCTCCTCCTCATCAGCTGCACTTGCCCTGAGCATCTAAAAGTCTTTTCGGGGCCGGGCACGGTGGCTCATGCCTGTATTCCCGCACTTTGGGAGGCCAAGGTGGGTGGATCACCTGAGGTCAGGAGTTCAAGACCAACCTCACCAACATGGTGAAATCCTGTCTCTACTAAAATTACAAAAATTAGCCAGGCATGGTGGCAGGCACCTTAATCCCAGCTTCTTGGGAGACTGAGGCAGAAGAATCACTCGAACCTGGGAGGCGGAGGTTGCAGTGAGCCAAGGTTGCACCACTGCACTCCAACCTGGGTGACAGAGTGAAACTCCGTCTCAAAAACAAA
Source organism: Homo sapiens (assembly GCF_000001405.40). Taxonomy (NCBI): domain Eukaryota; kingdom Metazoa; phylum Chordata; class Mammalia; order Primates; family Hominidae; genus Homo; species Homo sapiens. The sequence goes on from NW_025791806.1 coordinate 106,247, forward strand.
AAACAAAAACAAAAACAAAATACCCAAAAACATAAATTGGATTTGTCAGCAATCACTAACAGCAGAAAAGAGATGCTGCTGCATTGAACAAAGTGTCATCAATCCCAGCTTCAGTCATTCAAACTGTAAATGGCTCACGATGTAATTAGTCCCGTTTAAAAAAATATTTGGGGGTTTCTCTAACCACAGAATATGATGGCTGGAACTATTAATCAGGCTTCTATATGTTGTCAAGAGTTGGTATGAGGAACGATAGAGATGGAAATGACAGGGCAGCCGTCAGCTTGGAGCAGAGCCCCGTTGAACGGGCTGAAGGGTGGAAGTCCAGCCAGGACTGGAGTCGGGTCTCAGAACTCCCCAGCCATGCTCTTTCCTGTTGTCCCTCCGTGGACTGCTCTATCTGTGCCAGATGGTCAGTCCCTAGGCACCAGCAGAAAACTGTGTGGCCCACACACATTGCACACCCTGCGTAAAATTCTAGATTGTCCCCTAATGCCCTCTAGGTGTCCACCAAGGTTTGCCATGGAGAAGATCATCTAGCCCTTCCCACTTTCCACCTGGGTTCTTGAGAAGTTTTTTCTTTGAAAGTCTCAGCTCCTGAGCCTGGCGTGGATGGCCTTCATAATCTTGTCTTTTGTGTTTCCAACCTCATATCCAACTCGCCACCTCCAAGACATCCTGCACACTGACAGCTCCCTCTGCATGAATCCACCATTCTTTCTAAGCCTCCATCTCTCTGCCCAGGTCCCCCAACACACACACACACACACACACACACACACACACACACACACCCAACTCTCTAGAGTGTTCTCCTCTCAGCTCTGCTCCAGAGACTGACCTTCCTTCTACAAGGCACATCAAGTGCACAGCTTCGTGAGTCTTTCTCTAGTCACCAGAGAGAACTGCTTCATCCTCCGCACACGCCTCCACCAATGCCTTATTGTGTCCTGCAATTGCTCATTGTTTATGTGTATGTCTCACCCACTAAGCCATCTGGAGTCTTTTTACTTTATTTTTTTTTTGAGACAAGGTCCCACTGTATCACCCAGGCTGGAGTGCTGTGGTGCGATCATAACTCTGCAGAATTGAATACCTGAGCTCAAAGGATCCTCCAGCTTCAGCCTCCCAAGTAGCTGGGACTACAGGCACGGTCACCACGCCCAGCTAATTTTTGTTCATTTTATATAGAGACGAGGTCTCACCATGTTGCCCAAACTGGTCTTAAACGCCTGGACTCAAGCAATCCTCCCACCTTGGCCTCCCAAAGTGTTAGGATTATAGGTGTGAGCCATGGCCTCAAGCCTGGAGTCTTCTTTAATGGCCAGTTCTCCTCCTCTTTTTTCTTGATGTCCTCAGGCCCCGAAGCACACGATGTCAGTCCCCAGTGCACCTTTGTCGAATGACTTCACAAAGCCACCTCTCATTTCCCTGGATGTGGAAGGACAAATGCCCTCTGCCTCCTGCCCTGCCCCTGTCATACCAAGCGCCCAAGGCCCCAGCCCCACTCACCTGAGAGGCTGAGAAGGAGCAGAGCAGGGGGCAGCCACATGGCTCTGCCTTCCCGGCTCCTCGTCCGCCTGATCTGCAACCAGTGGCAAATGCAGATCCCAGATGCACTCTGGAAGTTCTGCCTGAGCTCTGGCTTGCACCTTCTGCACATCTAGACCGCCTTTGACTTTCTTACTCATTCACTTCCTTTTATAGAGTGGGTAGTTCCTGCTTTTAATTATTAAACGAAAGAGGTGTCATTTTTTGGCAGGGCTGCGCCACAGGGCTTAAGCATCGTCACTATGTAAAAAAGAGGAGGGAGGGGACTGTGCAGGGTCTTTAGGGTAGGGGGAGATACGTCTGCAGAAGGGGTGGGGTGGGGGGCGTCTGGCCTAGCAGGCCTTGGGTCCAAGGGGTATAACACTCTGGGAGTCAATTTCAGAGCTGTTCTATACCACAGTGAACACCCAACTCAGATGTCGGATGGGTCATGCTGGGCACACCTGAACATGCATTTGTTCAGGTGTTATAGCCAAGTGCATAAACATGCAGACTGTTGGGTCAGACAGACCTGGCTCTAACCCCACGAGCACCACCTACAAGCTGCGTGACTGTGGACAATGCAATCAACATCTCTGTGCCTCAGTTATTGTATCTATTAACTGGGCTCATAATGTTTGTTGTTGTTATAGGAGTTATTAAGAAATTATTTTAGGTAGATAGGAAAAGGGGTGCTTGGGAAGATTTTTTTTTCTTTTAAAGCAGCTCCATAAATGTTTCTTGTCTAGAAGAAAAGCCCTGGCTCTTAGAGCTGGGCAGGCAAGCTTTGATATGCAAATACAGGCCATTAGAAACTGCGTCCACCCAAACATGGAGACTCCCGCCTCTTCTTCTTTTCCCCACGTTCCTGGCAACATGGCCGCCCCTACATACACCCATGTGTGTAGAACATCATGGCGCCTGTATTTGCATATTAAAAGGCTAGGGTAGGAAGGCTAGTTTTTTCGTGGGCTACTTGAATGACATACCTGGTCAAACCAATCCCCTGGGCCCTATGCAAATCAGGTACCGCCTCCTCCAGCCTCCTCATATAACTGGCTGTTTTCCACCGTACTCGAGGTTCCCTCTTTCAGCTTGGAGCCCGCCTCCCTCAGTCTCAGAACAGGGGGAGCCTCTTCCTTCCTTCTTTCTTGTCTATTAAATTCTCCACTCCTTAAAACCACTCCACGTGTGCCCATGTTGTTTTATTCAAACCAGTGGGAGACCAAGGACCCTAGTGTTCCTCCAGTCATCAGAGCCATACCATTTTGTTGCATTGGCCGGGAATCCAAGGTACGACACTCATCGGAGTGGTAAGTATGGGAGTGAGCTTAAAATCTCTTCTATCATTCCGAGGCACTCTTAGCCTCTATTTTAAAATAAAATAAGTCAATGGGCATCCGTCAGCCGGGTACATACACTTAGTGTTGGCTGCCATACTGAAGACTCGAATGTGAGGCTTGCTGCTGAGAACACGGAGAACCCCCCAACACCCCTGGGTCATTGGGAATGTTGGCCATGTTTTAAATCAGCTTCTTTTCACGGGAAGACCTCGCCATTGTGCAAGGCTGGGAAAAGTTCTAAGGCAACTAACAATTTCTGGCCAGAGCACACCCTGGCATGATTCAAAGGCCCCTGGACTGGACCCAGCCTCTGGCGGCCCATTCTGGGTGTTGGCAAAGAATCCTCAACTATCTTGTCACAAAACTCTCCTTCCTTCTCTATCTGCGGTCTCTTACACTTTCTTTGTGTGAAATGTGTAGCGAGTTTTACAGCCTAGGAAAGTAATCCTGTTAGGCAAAATCAGGAAGATGCCCTTGCAATCTTCTAGGAACAGAGTTCTCCCCTTTCTCCCACCGTGAGGTTACTCACTACCACGTCTCTAGTGAGCACATAGTATTTCTAAGCCAACAGTGCCACCTAGTAGAAATAGAAATCCTCTACATAAAGCATATTTTTTCATGGCAAACCGCAGCTTCTTTTTGCATGATTAGAAATCAGGCTCGGCCAGGCGCGGTGGCTCATGCCTGTAATCCCAGCACTTTGGGAGGCCGAGGCGGGCAGATCATGAGGTCGGGAGATCGAGACCATCCTGGCTAACACAGTGAAACCCCGTCTCTACTAAAAATACAAAAAAAAATTAGCCAGGCGTGGTGGCGGGCGCCTGTAGTCCCAGCTACTCGGGAGGCTGAGGCAGGAGAATGGCGTGAACCCGGCAGGCAGAGCTTGCAGTGAGCCGAGATCGCGCCACTGCACTCCAGCCTGGGCAACAGAGCAAGACTCGGTCTCAAAAAAAAGAAAAGAAAAGAAAAGGAAAGAGAGAGAGAGAGAGAAAGAAAGAACAAGAAAAGAAAAAAGAAAAAGAAATCAGGCTCTAGGCCTCTTCTTGAAATGGGAAAGTTCTGCCTTTAGCAGTTAGGAGTTAAGAAGTCTTCCATAGCCAAATTTTAGTCTCAATATTGTCCCATTGGCAGGAAAATGGCCATTCGGTTCCTACATTCCTTTAAGGCACCTATTCTGTCTCCGATTAAGATGGTACTTAATTAGTAAGGGGATTTTTAAGTCCAGAAGTTAACCAGAACCATTTTTCTAAGGGTAAATGCTTTAGCACAGGCCATAATAATAGCAAGATATAAAGTTCAATCTAGCACGCCCCCTCCCTTAAAGAGGCTTTGCCCAATTATGTAGTTTTTCTTTTTTTTTCTTTTCTTTTCTTTCCTTTTTTTTTTTTTTTTTTTTTTTTTTGAGATGGAGTCTTGCTCTTGCCACCCAGGCTGGATTGCAGTGGTATGATCTCAGCTCACTGCAACCTCCACCTCCCGGGTTCAAGTGATTCTCCTGCCTCATCCTCCCAAGTTGCTGGAATTACAGGTGCCCGCTACCATGTGTGGCTAATTTTTGTATTTTTAGTGGAGACAGGGTTTCACCATGTTGGCCAGGCTGGTCTTGAACTCCTGACCTCAGGTGATCCACCCACCTTGCCCTCCCAAAGTGCTAGAATTACAGACATAAGTCACCACACCTGGCCCGTAGTTTTTCTTAAAATCGTTGTTTTTTTGTTTTGTTTTTTAGGGAAGCACACAGGTCACACAGGAGGTCAAAAAGAAATAAAAGACTAAGGTGCTTGTGGAAGTGTAAGTGGGCCCAGAAGTCTAGTTTCTCTGGTGCCATGGCTTGGAGGGTCACGCCTGCAGTCATGGCCAGCACATTTAAATGGGTGCCAGGATCCAGGAACCAGGGAAAGAAAATAGTTGGGGGAACGCCCCCTACTGTGTTCTCCATCCTGGATCACATACTGAAAGGAAGGAGACTAAAATAATGCTTTTATTCTCACTTCTCTTTCTAGATGGGTAACAGATCGTCTTCTCTGCACTCCAACCTGGGTGACAGAATGAGGCTTCATCTAAAAAAATTAATATAATGAATCACATTAATAGAATAAAGAAGAAAACCCACATAATCATGTAAACGCACAAAAACCACTATCTGAAATCCATTACTTTTCATGATAAACTAGGAATTAAAAGGTGCCTATAAGCAACCCATTACAACCCATGGCAAAATCTTTCCTTTAGAATCAGGAAGAGGACAAGATTGCTCAAAATCACTACTTTGATTCAACACTTTGATTAGCCTGCACAATACAACAAGAAAGAGAAACAAAAGACATGAGAATTAGAAAGAAAAACAAAGCTCTAAATTATTCTAGATTAATTGATTATCTACATATAAAACTGAAAACAATTACTAAGATTTTTTGCAGAGTTGCTAAATATATATAATCAGTAAGGATCAATTGTTTATCTACATGCATGCAATGAATAACTTGAAAATGCAATAAAAGATGCCACAAAATGGGGCGGGGCGCGGTGGCTCATGCCTGTAATCCCAGCACTTTGGGAGGCTGAGGCAGATGGATCACGAGGTCATCAGTTCAAGACCAGCCTGACCAACATGGTGAAACCCCGTCTTCACTAAAAATACAAAAAAATTAACTGGGCATGGTGGCAGGCACCTGTAATCCCAGCAACTTGGGAGGCTGAGGCAGGAGAATCACTTGAAACCAGAAGGCGGAGGTTGCAGTGAGCCGAGATTGCACCACTGCACTCTAGCCTGGGCAATAAGAGCAAAACTCTGTCTCAAAAAAAAAAAAAAAAAAAGCCACAAAATAAGAATAAAAACATAAAATATCCAGAATTACACTTAACAAATATATGAGCAAATATCAAGGAGAAAATAATAGAATGTTATTAAAAGACATTTTAAAAGCTCATAAATAATTAGAATTACATACCATGTTCATAGACAGAGAAATTATTATAAAGATAAATTTCATACATTTACATTTAAAGTCTCAACATAATTTTTTTTCTTTTTTAGTACGTTGACTGGTTAATTCTAAAATTTCTGCAGAAGAGGAAATGGCCAATATTTGCAAAGACATTCCCAATATCAAAGAACAATGTATAGTGACATGACTTACCAGATAACAAGACATTTAAATACAGCTATAGTAATTAAAACAATGTTGTCTTGGTTCCAAAATAAGCAATTAGGCAAATTCAACATAATAGAGTGGTTAGAAAAAGGTCCAAGCAGACATAGAAATAAACACCTGCCAGGGGTTGCATTGCAGATTGCTGGGAAAATGTGGATAATGCTTATCCAAATGGAAGACAGAAAAATGGATTATTATCTCAGCCTAGAAACAAAATCATTTAGAAATGGGTCAAGGACTTACCTGTGAAAGGGAATATTTAAAAAATTTTAGAAGAAGATATAGGATAATTTTTTTTTAATTTGGGAGTATCCATAATTGGTTAAGCAAGATGAAAGTATAAACCATTAAGGAAAATGAATAATTTGTACATTAAAGTGAAAATCCTGTTTCTCAAAAGATATCATAAAGCCAATAGCCCAGGAAAGTATATGTGGAGCACCAGTAACTAACAAAAGACTTGCAAAGAACTTCTACCAATTGGATCATGAGGTCAGGAGATCGAGACCATCCTGGCTAACATGGTGAAACCCCGTCTCTACTAAAAATTCAAAAAATTAGCAGGACGTGGTGGTGGGCGCCTATAATCCCAGCTACTCGGGAGGCTGAGGCAGGAGAATGGCATGAACCCAGGAGGCGGAGCTTGCAGTGAGCCGAGATCACGCCACTGCACTCCAGCCTGGGCAACAGAGCGAGACTCCGTCTCAAAAAAAAAAAAAAAAAAAGAACACAGACAAACAACAGAAAGTAGATGAAGATTAGAAGAGGCATTTCTCAAAAGAGAAAATTCAGATAACCAAAAAACACATGAGCATGAGTTTAACATTAGTAAGCAGAGAAATTCAAATTAAAACAATGAGATACCATTTCATACCCATTAACTTGAACAAATTTAGAAAGTCTGATAAGATTCAAGCAGGAGCACTGCTGATAAGAAGCAAAAATTGGTGCAGTTACTTTGGAAAATAATTTGCGCTTGCCTAGTAGAGCTGATTACACACATGCAGCAAAACCTAGCAATTATTCCCTTAGAACTCTACTCTAGGAGACACTTTTGGACAGACAAAATTAGGATATATGTTCATAATAACGTTATAAGTAATGGCAACACAAAAAGAAGAGAAGGAAGAAAAGGAGGAGGAGGAAGAGAAAAAAGAAGAGGAGGAGGACCAAGAGGTAGGAAGAGCAGGAGGAAGAGGAGGAAAAAAAGAGGGAGGAAAAGAAAAAAGAAGAAAAGGAGGAGGAGGAGGAGAAGTAGGCAGAAGAGTAGGCAGAAAAGAGTAGAAAGAGGAGAAAGGAGGGACAAGAGGAGGAGGAAGAGGAAGGGGAAGACGAGAGAGAAAGGATAGAGAAAGAGAAGGAGGAAAATAAGAAGAGCACAAAAAAGAGAAAGAAAAGAAACAACCTAAATGCCTGTTTAAGAAAGAGGGATGTGCGAGTTATGGTATGCTCATACAACAGAATGTAGACCAATACAAAGAAGTGACACATCAGTGCGTCAACACATCAACATGGATGAATCTCAAAAATAAAGTGTTGAATGGTCCAGGCACTGTGGCTCACACCTGTAATCCCAGCACTTTCGGAGGCTGAGGCGGATGGATCACGAGGTCAGGAGATGGTAAAACCCCTCTCTACTAAAAATACAAAAATTTAGCCGGACATGGTGGCACATGCCTGTAGTCCCAGCTACTCAGGAGGCAGAGGTGGGAGAATCGCTTGAACCTGGGAGGCAGAGGTTACAGTGAGCCGAGATCGCACCACTGCACTCCAGCCTGGGTGAAAGAGTGAGACTCCATCTCAAAAAAAAAAAAAAGTGTTGAAAGATAAAGTCTGATTGCTTAGAAATAAAAATGCCTAATACTATTCACAGAAAGTTCAAAAATAAACAAAGCTAAACAACATACCCTTTGGAAATCCATATGCATGTATGTGGCAAATCCCTTAAAACAAGATGATGATGAACATAACAATCGGAATGTGAGCCAGGTGCTGTGGTGCATGCCTGTAGTCCCAGCTGCTCCAGAGGCTGAGACAGGACCAAGGCTTGAGCCCAGGAGTTCAAATCCAGCCTGGGTAACATAGTAAGACCCATCTCTATAAAAAAAGATACAATAAAATAAAATGTAGGATGTGGTTTTCTGAGAGAAGGATAGAAAAGAAATTGCATAAGATCAGCAAGCGGTTTGGGGCTTCATGAGTATGAATGATGTTCTATTACTTAAACTGGATGGTGGGCACACACAGGTTAAAGAGTATTCTTGGTGTAAAGTGCATGTATTCTTTTGTGTGTCTGATACATCACAAGAAAAAAGCCTCCAAATCTTCTGATAGAAACATGGATTTGTTGGTCAGAAGGCCATTCCCATATGTAAGAGGGAGTATGTTGCTTGGCGCGGTATTGATGGGCATCAGAGTTACTGTTTCTCACAATCCAGCTGACTCTGCCTCCCCACCGAGCTTCTCTGAGCCCTGTTCACCCACAGGACAGCCCCCAGCTTGTTTAGGAGCAGGGGAAGCTCCAGGAGGATCAGGAGCAGGATGTGGAGACTGCTGAGGAGGGACCTGTGGGGACACGGTGACAGGCAGTGAGTTACCTCCCCAGGGGAAGACCTGGTGCCCTCCACCTTGCCCCTATCTCCAGTGCCAAGGTACTGTGGGCACAAAAATCAAGAACTAACCTGGACATAGCAGCCAGATACATAAGACCAATGGCCTCTAATTATCACCCTAAGAATTGCCTTGAGATTCAGGGCTGTGGGCTGAGGCAGGGCAGGGCGATAGCAGCAATGTGAGGGGACACCCAGGGACCTGGTAGGACCTGAATCCACAAGAATCTCTACCAAAGCCCTTTGTGTGCAGGAGCAGACTCTTCAGAGGTGCAGGAATCAATAACCTGGATATCTGTCGAATGCCTGCTCCTCTCCAGATGGCATTTCCCACAAAGGCAGGAGCCCTGTCTAGTCCTCTTCACAGATAAACTGGCACCTGCCCTGTGGCTGCAAACATCTATCTGTAAAATTTATGGTTGTTGAGCGGCGGCTGCTAGTGTCTGTCCTGGGTCCACTGTGATGGCCAGGTGCCTCCCAGGGAACAGACATGTTGGACAGGCCTTCCCAGGAGGCGGGAACCCAGGTCTGTCCACACTCAGAATGGCTGGTTCTCCTGACATGATGGGCTCAGGGTGTCTTTACCCTGGAAAGGGCAAGGAGGCTAGTCAGATACAGGATTTGCCTCCTGTCTGTCCCGGAGGGCATCACCCCTTCTCCACCTTCTCATGCCTTAAGCATATTCCTTGACTCTCCCAACCCTCTTACAGATTTCCGTTCCTTTCTTCCTATCATGCCCAATAGCACCAGAGGCCGAGCGGAGAGTGACAGGGGAATCTTGGTGGACCTGGCACCATGAAGGGGTCACTGCACCCTTGTCCTGCCCAGCCCTCCCTTCATTTACACTCTCAGGGACAGTGTGCACTGCAGTCATTGGTGCTGATGCCCCCGACTCACATCATGGGACTGTCGCCAGCCCAATGCAATCCCGGGCCTTCCCACCTGCCCAGTGTTCAGGTCTGACCTTGACCCAGCTTGGCAGTAGCTGGCCCTGCCACGGGGACCTGACCTGGTCTCCCCTTCTGCTCTTACTCATCCCTTTCATTCTCCCCACAATGAGCAATGTGACCCCTGACACACACACACGGCCCTGGGGAGGCACTGCTGAACTCCCAATGGCTCCTGCTGTCACAGGATGGCACCCACCTGACCTGGCCTCTGCACACAGGTCCTGGCAGCCCCTATCACCCGGCAAGTGGCTCCAACCTCCTGGCTCCAGGTTCACCTCGGTGCTGCCACCCTCCCGACTCGGGTCTTTGTCCAGACCCTCAACCTCCCACTCCTCTGCCTGCCTCCAGCTGACAGGTTTGCCTGCGTGTTCCTTGACCTTCCTGGGTTATGGTGGCTTCCTTTTTAGGGGTCCTCATGACCCATTTCACATTTCCCTCTTGTGTTTATCACTGTTTTGTTGGTGGGTTTCGTCTGGACTGGTAGCTCATGGAGAACCAGGGCAGTATCTTGTCCTGATCACAGCTGTGACTTGCTGTCATCCTGGGGTCTGCCAAGGGCAAGTCAACAAATTGCTTGTTGAATGAATGAATGAATGCATGACTCTCTCGAGTCTTACCTGCCTTCAGAAAACTTAATTGTCTGATGCTGGTGTGCCATATCCAGCTCAGGCTGGGGAGGAGACAGAGAATGCTATCTGCAGGCCCTGGAGCCACTGGATCCAGAGAGGGATCTGCTTCCTGTGTTTTCCAGATCCAAGTCTAAGATGCCCCCCTGGCAGGACACATGCACCTGCTGCTCTCTCTGCCTCAGGGCTCCTCCTCCAGGGATCCTGGCGCTCACCCCCCTCCTTTCTCCTGATCCCTGCTTGCTCAGCGCCTATTAGAGGGGCTTCATCACAGACCCCTCCACTCCTGCAAAGCAGTCACCCCACTTCTCTTATTTTACTCCGTGGCTCTTTTCACCTCTGTCTTTTACATTACCTCTGGAACATATTCATGTATTTTTGCATTTGTTTATCATTTCTATCCCCCACCTGGAATATGGGCTCAGTGTAAACAGAGCTCCTTGCCTGGGTGTTCACGGCTGGACTCCAATGCCAGGTCAGTGTCTGATACACCAAAAGCTCCCATAAGCATCTGCCGAATGGAAAAAAGGGTTAAGAACCCCCCAGGCGAGGCCCTCCTTGACCAGGAGGACTCATGGGAATCATCTGCCTCACAGGGGTCTTGGGTGTTGGCCAGGTCATCATGGCGACCCTGGAACTGAAATGGTGGGCAAATGATAACATCTTTCGTCTGTATAGACAGACATGGTCTACACTACTGAGCAAAAGACTCACTTAACTACCACATCAAGGAGTCATAGCCCTCCATCCGTTTCCAAATTTGCACCAGTTAAAACCCACAGCCCTGGAATGAAGGAGAGGTCAGGTCCCCTTGAAGAAGGAGGAAGGGTAGGCCTGGTTATGCTACCACAGTTCACACTGAGAATCTTCTACCAGCTCTCCCAGAGGGACCTAAAGACACTGGCCAGGATGTGTCTACCTGAAGGAGGGAATAGTCAGGCTTTGGGGGAAATTCTGGATCCTTTTCTGCAGGGACCCCCATTCCGAGAGGCCTAACATGGGGCTTGGTCCACTATTCTCAGCAAAGGCCTGTGGAAATCAGGGAACAATGGATTTCTCACTCAGGTCTGACTGAGTGGGCCTGATACATCCCAAACCTACACATTGTCATTTATTAAAGTTTGAAAGCATCATTGAATCGACACACTCAGCAAATGGAAGCAGCCGCATATTCTACACTCCTGGACCCAGGGAGTGTGGGCCATTATGGTGGCAAAGGTGCAGGGGAGTCCTAGACCTGCTTCTCCCTGTGAAAACGGTGGAGGAAGCAGTGCCAGGCTCCTGGAGAAATGGAAGGGTGCAGGGAGGGCATCCGGGCACTCAGAGGTATTGCTGACGGCCCGAGGCTTAGCTGGCCGGGGCGTGCACATGAGACGTGGACTCACAGCTCAGGGCGTCCATGTCCGTCAGGTTCACATGTGACACATGAGGATCGGGCACAGGGAAAAGGCTGAAGGAGGCTCACAAAGGATTCCAGGAGATGTGGAGAGAGCAGCCCGGGAGGGAGTGGTCAGGAGGTCATTCCAGTCCCCCAGAGGGGCTCTGTTGCAGCACAGGGCCTTGATGGACAGCAGATGCTACTGGTTCTCACCCTTGGGCCAATTCTGCCTGCTTCTAGAGCTTCTCTGAGGTCTGTTCACCCAGAGGACGGCACCCAGCATGCTCAGGAGCAGGGGCAGCTCCAAGAGGACCAGGAGCAGGAAGCGGACATTGCTGAACAGGGAGCTGTGGGGACACGGTGACAGGCAGTGAGTCACCTCCCCAGGGGAGGCCCAGGTGCCCTCCACCATCCCCTGACCCTTGTGTCCCAATCCTGTGACCACAGCCAACCACATAAGCACCCCCCTGGACAGTCCATCCCGTCTCAGCATCACGGCCCCTAACCCTCAGCCTCGGATTTACCCTTGACCTGAGGACTGTGACACAGGAAGGGCAGGACCATGAGAGGACGTGAGGTCACGCCAGGGATCCAGGCAGGGTCTGTGTCCAGGACGCAGCTGTCTACCTCTGTGCTCCCCATGGAGGGTTACCCAGCTGGGGTCCCGGAATTCACAAAGGGTTATTTGTTTGGTGTCAACTCTCCTGTACACAGCGTTTCCAGGAGGGCAGGGACCATTTGTTTCATTCACAGTGAGTACCTGCTGCCTACCCGGAGTCTCCAATAATCTGCCCTACAACTTCAGTGGTTGTTGAAGGAATTAATGAATGGACAGCTCAGCTCTCAGCTCCTCAGAGGACTGGGCTTATCAAACAGGATGAAACTCTGGCCAGGGCTGCGAGAGAGGCAGGGGAGAGGACCAGGGCCACCGGACCCCAGAGCATCTGCCCCCTTCCCTGGCCTGGCCAGGTCCCAAGGCTCCTCGCAGGACATTTGCCTCACTCCTCCCTCCACCTGGACCCTTCTTCCTCCAGACCCCAGAGTGCCCAGCCCCCAACCCTTGAGGTCTCTGTGCTCATGTCCTCTAATTCTCAAACCCTCTTCTGATCATCGTCAGTGAAATAGCAACTCCAACACCTGCACACGCTCTCCCCAAACCCAAGAGTCAAACATCTCATCCCAGCATTCATTACCCTTTGCTGTATTTGTACATCAGCCTCTGTGCTGACTTGCTCAATGCGTGAATCCACGCAGTAGAACTCAACTTCCACCAGGGCAGGACAGTGGCTGTGTGGTTCCCTGCTGTGACCCAATCCCAAAAGGAGCGCCTGACACTTAATAGAACCTTCACGTTTGGTGTGGGAGGTGCGAACAAAGAAGGGACTGGAAGAAGGGACATCCGAGTCCCCTAAACATCACACGCAGTGGGGAGGCCGCCAGCGTGGCCCAGTCCTATGCGCAGGCACCTTACCCAGGGTGTGGGCTGGGTTCGGGGCTGTCCTTTCTGGTCACGCTGGGCCAGGTGTGCACGGGCAGCTTCGTGGGAGGACCTGAGGTGCCCATGGAGCTCTGGGGGCTGGAGGCTGTGGTCGTCCCGGCTGTGGGTGAAACACAGGTCAACCTTGATGACATCACATGGGTCTCCCACTTACTCTCACCTGTTCTGCTCCAATTTTCACAGACAAGGTCACCAATGATGTGCTGGACAGATGCCCTGCATCCATCATGCCCCACGGCCACACCCAGGCCTGACCAGGGTCCTGGGCCTCTCCTTGTCCCATCCCTAGGTACTGCAGAGCCAGGACACCATTTCAGATGTGAGAGCTGCCCTGCTCACCTGTGGCAAAGGTACGGGTCTCCAGGTTTCACCCCAGCCAGGGAGGGACAGGGTGACCTGGGGGAATGGGGTGATGTTTACTCTGCGAAGGGTGACCCAGAGTGACTGCGAAGCCAGGGCCCTGGGCACAGCAGTGGCTGGAGAGAGGCTGGAAGTGAGGACAGGAAGTCAGTGGGGTCCTCCCTGAACGATGGGACCCGAGTCCACTCAGCCCCAAATGGCAGCCATGCTGCGGCCCCACAAGGCCATTGGACCATCCTCTCAGCAGGAGGGAATGCCCAGGAAGAAAGATCTAGAGAGGGGATGCCCGGTGAAGCCTGGGCGGCGGCCCGTGGTGAATACAGCTGGATAAGGGCCCTTTCCTCCTCTCCCTGGCGCCCTCAGGTGGGATCTTAGCTCCTCACTCCTAGATAGGAAGGCACAAAGGGCGCAGGAGGGACACGTCGCCCCCGGGGAAATGGAGAACAAGAAGATGCTCCGAGGAACCTGGGACATTGTCAGAAGAAAACGATGGAAAAGCAACCACACTGAGGCCACTGGGTTTGTGTCTTGTGAGACAGGAGGGGGCCTTTGAGGGAAGAATGATCTTCGGCACGGGAAAGGGCCCTCAGGTCCGTGCCAGTCTCAGCTCATTTCCATCCACAGGTCCCTTTGCCTGAGGGGGCAATTTCTGGGGTTCCCTCCTGTGGTAAAAGGTGCCAGAGAATAAGGGGGACACACAGGTCAGCCTCAGGGGCAGGATGTGGTTCCCAGGAGCATGAGAACCCCACCCAGGGCTCTGGGGCTCCTTCCTGTGTCCTCCAGTGGCTGCTGCAGGAGCTCCCAGGACAGGGCTGTGAGGCTGCGGCCTCAGGACCCTCCAGACAGGGCGGCATCCATGCAGGCCCCAGGGCAGGGGCAGCCTTGAGTGAGAGGAGCCAATGATGGGGGGGTCCAATTCCCCGTGGGGAAGAGCGAGTTAGACCCAGGCGGGACAGTGGGCACCCTTCAGTATGGATCCGGCCCTTGTCAATACAGGGAGGTAGCAAGGACCCCAGAGTCAGGGGTGGCCTCACAGACCCCACCCAGGAAAGTTTCAGGCCTGAGGCCGTGAGGGAGGGCCCACAGCGGGGGGTCTCCAGCCACAGGGCCAGGGTGCTTTTGTGGGCGCCCACCCTCCCAACACACACATGCAGGTGCACACACACACAAACCACACCACAACTCCTATGCAGGCACGCATACACAAAGACGCACTCACACTCATCCACACACAGCGGCACACAGTGTCCTGACTCACCAACCCCCAGGCTCACACCCTCCTGTTCCACTTCTTTCTTCAGGGACAGAATGACCAGCCCTAGGCTCAGGCAGGCCTGGTGCTGAGAAAAGGAGGGGCTCACCCGGGAACACGGACACCTCAACCTCGACAATGGGATCATGAAAGTCTCGGAGCCACGGTGTATCCACCCCACACCAGTAGGTGCCTGCGTCCTCCTCTGTGAGATTCTCCAGGGTCACTGTGAAGCTGAGGTTTGCAGGACTGTCCCTGATGGACACTCGGCCATTCCTTTTCCCTGCTGACCCTTTGGTCTCCACAATCTTGTCACATCGGAGAATCTGTGGTGGTCTGCACCAGAATTTGTTGAGGGTCCTGTGTTCCTTCTCATAGCGACACTGCACACTCAGGGATCCCCCCACGGGGCCCGCCACGGTCATGGGGTGGCTCAGAGGAAAATAGCCTGAAAAATACAAGCCAAAATCCTGTCTCCTTACCAGAGGGGCCTGGTCAGGGGTGCCGCAGTGTCAGCCCCTCATGGACCCTGGGCGTGTGGAGAAGGCAATGGCAGGCAGGCAGCCTTTGTCCACCCAGGAACAGGGACTGAGGGTGGGAGGCTCCCTCTGTGCAGAGGTGGGAAGGGCATGGGAAGTTTCCATGGAGACTGGAAAGGCAAGGCTAGGGAAACACTGGGTGTGTGCGGGCCTGTGTGTGCATGTGAGTGTGACTCTGTGTGTGTGACTGTGTGAGTGTGACTGTCTGTGTGAGTGTGACTGTGTGTGACTGTGTGTGCATGTGTGACTGTGTGTGCATGTGAGTGTGACTGTGTGTGCATGTGTGACTGTGTGCATGTGTGTGTGAGACTGTGTGAGTGTGACTGTGTGTGCATGTGTGTGAGACTGTGTGAGTGTGACCGTGTGTGCGTGTGAGTGTGACTGTGTGTGTGATCGTCCCAGATAAAATTTGTGATTGGATAACTTTGGCAATGACAGTCACAGCATCACCTCCCACCAGGGCTTCCTGTCTCGGGCACAGAGGAATAGGCCTCCCCCGTGCTGTGCCCTGCCGCCTGCTGTCCCCTGGTGAGGCAGCTGCTGACCGCTCCTGGGTGCTCCTTTGCCCTCCTCCCCTCTCCCTGCCCCACTCCCCTCTATGACCGCTACTCCAGCGCCTGCACCCCTCCCTGCCCTCTCCCACTCAGGACAGAGCTCCCCAAGTCCAGGGTCGGCCCACTCACCTGGGACAAGCAGGAGGAGCAGAGCTGAAGACCGCCACGAGGCCCAGGCCCTGGCAGTCATTCCTGTAACACGAATGTCACCTGCCACTGTGCAAGACCCCAGGAGGGGACAAAATGTAATCTCCTCCCAGCAGATCTGAGCTTCGCTTCTGCTTTTCTTCTGCTCTCTGCTTCCTTGTCCAGCCCTGTCTCAGGTCTGAGGCTGGAGAGGGTCAGGGTACAGGAAGCTCAGGGAGAGAGCCGCCTGGGCTGAGGCCGGTGCTGACAGCTCTGGGATGGTGCTAGTGGCTCCTCTCAACCCTGACGTCTGGCAAAGTCCAGGGTCCCTTGGGTGGCGATGCAGCCACTTCCCCACAGCCCACAGCTTCTGGCTTCAGTGTGTTACTCACACTGCAGAAGGCAGAGCCAAGCTGGGCCATTTCCTACCACATGGGCTGCTCCACCCTCTGTGACATGTCACTTCCTGGTCAGGATGGACAATCTTGTGGTTGGAGGCTAAATCTGCCACCTTCTTTAGCCTTGGAGGTGACCAGAGAGAGGTTGTGTCCCTTAATCTTCAGCTAGGTCCCCGCAGAGACCTCTGCCCCTAAGACCCCCAGCTCTTCTTCTGGCCTCAGAAGTTAGCGCTATGAACCCAGACACCATCTGCATGTCCCTTTTTGGTGCTGAGTCCCCAACCAGGTTAAAATCCCACAGGCTTGGGGAGTTTTCCTCTTGTGCCCCTGCCCCCAGACCTACACACACAGCGGCATCACCCACCCGAGACCCTCCTTTTCCATCTTGTCTTCTTGCCAAAATCCATGCCCCAGTGGGAATCAGGGCAGAGAACTGAGAATAGAGAGAGAGTTCAGACATGTGAAGATGCTGAAGTGGGACTTTGTGGAGGATGTGAGGCTGCGACTGAGCCAGCACACACCCCAGGGCACACGGAGGGGTGTTTGGTGACTGAGAGGACAGTTTGTCATGAGCAGCGGCTGCTGGTGTCTATCCTGGGTCCACTGTGATGGCCAGGGGCCTCCGCAGGGAGCAGACATGGCAGACAGGCCTTCCCAGGAGGCGGGAACCCAGGTCTATCCACACTCGGCATGGCTGGTTCTCCTGACGTGATGGGCTCAGGGTGTCTTTACCCTGGAAAGGGCAAGGAGGCTAGTCAGACACAGGATTTACCTCCTGTCTGTCCTGGAGGGCATCACCCCTTCTCCACCTTCTCATGCCTTAAGCATATTCCTTGACTCTCCCAACCCTCCTACAGATTTCTGTTCCTTTCTTCCTATCAGAGTCAATAGCACCAGTATGTGCACACAGCCATGAGGTTGAGTGGAGAGTGATGGGAGTCTGGGCAAACCTGGCACCATGAAGGGGTCTCTGCACCCTCGACCTGCCCTGTCCTCCCTCCATTTACACTCTCAGGGACACAGCATGCACTGGGGTCATTGGTGTTGATGCCCCCAGACTCACATCATGGGACTATCTCTAGCCCAGTGCAATCCCAGGGCCTCCAATTAGCCCAGTGCTCAGGTCTGGCCTGGGCCTGGCTTTGAAGTATCCCGGCTCTTTCATGGGCTGACCTGGTCTCCCCTTCTGCTCATACCCACCCCTTTCATTCTCCACAGAATCAGCAATGTGATCCCTGACACACACACATGGCCCTGGGGAGGCGCTGCTGAACTCCCAATGGCTCCTGCTGTCACAGGATGGCACCCACCTGACCTGGCCTCTGCACACAGGTCCTGGCAGGCCCCAGCACCTGGTAGGTGTCTCCAGCCTCCTGGATCCAGGTTCACACTGGTGCTGCCACCCTCCCCACTCGGGCCTTTGTCCAGACCCTCAACCTCCCACTCCTCTGCCTGGCTCCAGCCGACAGGGTTGCCTGCGTGTTCCTTGACCTTCCCGGGTTATGGTGGCTCGCTTTTTAGGGGTCCTCATGACCCATTTCACACTTCCCTCTCGTCTTCCTCAGTCTTTCTGTTGGCGAGTCAATGTCTGCTCCCATCTAGGGTGGCCGCCCCTTGAGAGCAGGTGCAGCCTCTTGTCTCATTCACAGCTGTGCCCGTTATCATTCCAGAGTCTGCCAAGTGCAGTTTAACAAACTGGCTGTTGAAAGGATGAATGGGTGAATGGATACATGACATCCTGATGTCCCACTGCCTCAGAGGACTTAGTCATCCAAAGTTGGTGCACCATTTCCTGCCCAGGCTGGGGAGGAGACAGGAAATGCTGTCTGGAGGCCCTGAAGCCACCTGACCCAGGGAGGCATCTGCCCCTGGCAGGACATGTGCACCTGCTCCTCTCTCTGCCTCAGGGCTCCTCCTCCAGGGATCCTGGCGCTCACCCCCTCCTTTCTCCTGATCCCTGCTTGCTCAGCGCCTATTAGAGGGGCTTCACCACAGTCCCCCTCAGCTCCTGCACAGCAGTCACCCCACTTCTCTTATTTCATTCCGTGACTCTTTTCATCTCTGACTTTTATATTTCTTCTGGAATTTATGCACGTATTTTTGCATCTGTTTATCATTTCTATCCCCCGCCTGGAATATGAGCTCAATGAAAACAGAGCTCCTTGCCTGGGTGTTCACGGCTGGACTCCAATGCCAGGTCAGTGTCTGATACACCAGAAGCTCCCATAAGTATCTGCTGAATGTAAAAATAGGTGAGGACCCCCAGGCGTGTCCCTCCTTGACCTGGTGGACTCATGGGGATCATCTGCCTCACAGGGGTCTTGGGTGTGGCATCCCTGGAACCGAAACGATGGTCAGCTGATAACGTCTTCCTTTGTCTGGATAAGCAGACATGGTCTGCACTAGTAAGCAAAAGACTCAGTTAACTACCACATTAAGAAGTCACGGCCCTCAACCAATTTCCATATTTGAGTCAGTTAAAAGCCACAGCCCTGGAATGAAGGGGAGGTCAGGTCCCCTTGAGGAAGGAGGAAGGAAAGGCCTGGCTACCATGCCACAACTCACACTGATAATCTTCTACCAGCCCTCCCGCAGGGACCAGAAGACACTGGCCAGGATGTGTCTACATAAGGAACGGAATTGTCAGGTTTTGGGGGGAATCCTGGATCCTCTTCTGCAGGGACCCCAGTCCTGAGAGGCCCAGCCTGGGGCTTAGTCCACTATTCTGAGCAAAGGCCTGTGGAGATCAGGGAACAATGGAGTTTTCACCCAGGTCTGACTTAGTGGGCATGATAGGTCCAGAATCTATGTATTGTCATTTCTTAAAGTTCGAAAGCATCATTGAATTGACACACTCAGCAAATGGAAGCAGCCACATATTCTGCACTCCTGGACCCGGGGAGTGTGGGCCATTATGGTGGCAAAGGTGCAGGGGAGTCCTGGACCTGCTCCTCCCTGTGAAAACGTTGAAGGAAGCAATGCCAAGCTCCTGGAGAAATGGAAAGGTGCAGAGAGGGCATCAGGCACTTAGAGGTGTTGGTGACAGCTCGAGGTTCAGCTGGCCAGGGCGTGCACATGAGACATGGAGTCACAGCTCAGGGCGTCTGTGTCCATCAGGTTCACGTGTGATTCATGGATCAGGCACAGGGAAAAGGCTGAAGGAGGCTCACAGAGAATTCCAGGAGATGTGGAGAGAGCAGCCCGGGAGGGAGTGGTCAGGAGGTCATTCCAGTCCCGCAAAGGGGTTCTGTCGCAGTGCAGGGCCTTGATGGACAGTAGATGCTACTGGTTCTCACCCTCTGGCCAACTCTGCCTGCTTCCAGAGCTTCTCTGAGGTCCGTTCACCCAGACGACGGCACCCAGCATGCTCAGGAGCAGGGGCAGCTCCAGGACCAGGAGCAGGACGTAGGGGCTGCTGAACAGGGAGCTGTGGGGACACGGTGATGGCAGTGAGTCATCTCCCCAGGGGAAGCCCAGGTGCCCTCCACCTTCTGCCTGTCTGTGAACCCAGGTCCTGTGGCCACACAAATCCCTGTGAGGACAAACTCTGTATATGACAACTCCTCTAAAGAGATCATTAGACCCTGACCTTCAGCCTGAGAGTCCCTGGAGTCTCAGGACTGCCTATAAGGAAGCACGTGGCCGTGAAAATGGTGCATGAGGACAGGGAGGGATCCAGGTGAGAACCACACCCACAAGATCTCTACATCCCGGGGTTATTCACTGGCGCATGGAATCAGTCATGTAGTTTGATGCCTGTATGGCCATCATTTCCCGAGAAGGTGAGGACTATTCATGTTATTCACAAGTAACTGGTACCTGCCCTCTGGTTGCAAATATCAGCCTGTAAAATTCATGGTTGTTGAAGGAATGGAAGGAATGAATGAATGGCCCAGCTCAGCTCTCAGCTCCTCAGAGGACTGGGCTCATCAAACAGGATGAGACTCGGGCCAGGGCTGCAAGGGAGGCCAGGGGAGAGGGCCGGGGTCACCGGGCACCAAAACATCTGCCCCCTGCCCTGGCCTGGCCGGGTCCCAGGACTCCCTTGCAGGACATTTGCCTCACTCCTCCCTCTGCCTGGACCCCTCTTCCCCCAGACCCCAGAGCGCCCTGCTCCCAAATCCTGCAGGTCTCCACGCTCATGTCCTCTAATCCACAAACCCTCTTCTGATCATTGTCAGTGAAATAGCGACTCCAACACCCACACACATGCTCCCCAAACCCAAGGCACAAATATCTCTTCCCAGCAGTCATCAAACTTCGCTGTATTTGTCTGTCAGCCACTGTGCTGACCTGTTCACTGTGTGAATCCACCTGGTAGAACCCAAACTCCACCAGAGCAGGACTGTGGCTGAGTGGTTCCCTGCTGTGACCCTATCCTGACAGGAGCACCTGGCACTTAGTAGGACCTTCACATTAGGTGTGGGAGGCGTGAGCAAAGAAGGGACCAGAAGAAGAGAGACACAACCATCCCATCTCTCCCCAGCCTACAGGAAAGGCTGCCCAGGTGGCAGTCCTGGGGGCACGAACCTTACCCTGGGTGTGGGCTGGGATCAGGGCTGTCCTGTCTGGTAGAGCTGGGCCAGGTGCACGCTGGGACGTAACGGGAGGACCCGAGGTGCCCGTGGAGCTCTGAGACTGGAGGCCGCTGTCAGGGCTGCAGGGGCATCACAGGTCAGTCTCGGCGACCTCGCCTGAGTCTCCCACTCATCATCACCTGTTCAGCTCTGATTTCCACAGACACGATCACTCAGTACATGCTGGACAGATGCCCTGAGTCCAACACGTTCCACGGCCACACGCAGGCCGGACCAGGGCCCTGGGCCCCTCCCTAGTCTTATCCCCAAGTACTTCATAGCCAGATGAGCACTTTCAGAGGCAAGAGTCAACCTGCTCTCTAGGGGAACGTGAGAGTCTGTGGAAAGAAGACCTGGCTGCAGACCCCATCCCAGCCAAGGAGGGAGGGGTGACATTCACTCTGTGAAGCGTGACCTAGAGTGACTGCGGAGCCAGGGCCCTGGGCATGGCAGTGGCTGGAGTGAACTGGAAGTAAGGACAGGAAGTCAGTGGGGCCCTCCCTGAATGATGGGACCCGAGTCCACTCAACCCCAAATGTCAGCCAGGCTGGTGGCCCCACAAGGCCAGACACTTTCAGGGTGGGGCACACAGAGGAGTCTCCAACAACAGGTGCAAATGTGCTTTTGTGCATGTCAGCACACACACACACGGGTGCACACACACAAACACACCACACAATTGTGCAAGCACACACACACCACACCTGCGCACGCACACACACACACCACAAACACAACTCACACCTGTGCATGCGTGCGCACACACACACCTGTGCATACACACACAGCAAACCCATGCATGCACACACAGACACTGTGTCCTAAGTCACTGCCTGCAACCTCACACACTCCTGTCCCATTTCTCACTTCAGGGACAGAATGACCAGCCCTAGACTCAGACAGGCCTGGTGCTGAGTGAAGGGGGCTCCCCTGGGAACACCGACACCTCCACCTGGAAGACAAGGTCTTGGAAGACAAGATCTTGAAATTCTTGGAGCAATAGTCTATTGACCCCACACAAATATCCACCTGCATCCTCCTCTGTGAGGCTCTCCAGGGTCACTGTGAAGCTGAGGTTTGCAGGATGGTCCCTGATGGACACTCAGCCATTACTCACTCCTGCTGACTCTCCAGCCTTTACAGTCTTGTCACATAGTAGAAAAAGTGGTTGTCTGCACCAGTATTTGTTGAAAGTCCTGTATTCCTCCTCATACTGACACTGCACATTCAGGGATCCCCACTGCGGTGTCTGTCATGGTGCTGGGGCCGCCCACAGCAAAACAGCCTGGAAAATACAAGCCAAAGTCCCAGCTTCTCCTCAGATGGGCCTGGGTCAGGGATGTTCTGGGGTCAGGGCCTCTCGGACCCTGGGGTTGTAGAGGAGACAGTGGCAGGCAGACAGCCCTTGTCCACCCAGGAATCTGAACTGAGGGGTGAGTAGCTCCCTCCCTGCAGAGGTGGGAACGGGGAGGGGGGTTTCCATGGAGACAGGAAGGGCATGGACTGGGAAAACACTGTGCGTGTGCATGCCTGTGTGTGCACGTGCATGCATCTATGATTGTATGTGTGGTTCATCAAGATGGCATTTCGGATTGGATAACTGTGGCAATGACAATCACAGGCACCTCTCCCCCAGGGCCTTCTCTGTCGAGGATGCAGTGGAACATGACTCACCTGCGCTGTGCCCTGGAGCCTGGCACTCAGCTAGTGAGGCAGCTGCTGACAGCTCCTTGATGCTCCTCTGTCCTCCTGCCCTCTCTCCATGTCCCTACTTCCATGTCCAGGGCCCACCCACCTGAGACATTCAGGAGGAACAGAGCTGCCAGTAGCCGAGCAGCCCGATCCCTGGTGGCCTCTTCTCAGATGTCACTTGTCACTGCATCAGGCTCTGGTAGGACAAGGTGGAGTCCCCTCTCCCAGGGTCTGAGCCCCACTTCTGCTTTCTTTCCCTATCTGCTTCCTTGTCCAGCCCTGTCTCAAGTCTGAGGCTGGAGATGGGAGATTGCAGAAAGCTCAGGAGAGAAGCTCCCTGGGCCGGTGCAGGCACGCCTAGACTCAAGGGGCCAGGGACCAGGGGCCAAGGTGCAACCAGGATCTGAAGCTCAATGGGCAGTTCCAACCAGAGCAAGTTTCATCCCTAAAGACAAGTGCCCAGGGCAGGGGGCATCCAGGCAGGAAAGAGGAGGACACATCTGATTCTGGCCCATGGCTTCCGCTATATTGAGAAGCAGCACACACACTGCACGTTGAACTTCTCACTTCTGGGAGAGGAAGAGACACCCAATGTCCCTACTGAACATGTTCACCTAGGCTGGAACTTGGTTTGGTGACAATCTTCAATGCTTCTTATTTGTGAACAAGGGAAGCAGTCTTTGAAGCACTAACTATAACCAATGCCAGACCTAAGTTAGATTATCTATATAACTTGTGAACCAAAGTGTATCTGAGACAAGTCGCAATTAATTTTGGAAGTTTATTTTGCCAAGGTTAAAAGTACATCCATGACAGCCTCAGGAGGTCCTCACAACATGAGGTGGTCAGGGCACAGCTTGGCTTTATACATTTTAAGGATACATAAGACATCAATCAGTATATTAGATTGGTACAAAAGTAATTGCAGTTTTGCCATTACTTTTAATGCACTCCAGCCTGGGCAACATTAGTTTTAATGGCAAAAATCACAATTACTTTTGCACCAACCTAATATGTAAGATGTACGTTGGTTCGGTCTAGAAAGGCAAAACAACTCAAAGTGGGAGGGGGCTTCCAGGTCACAGGTAGATAAGAGACAAACAGTTGCATTTTTTTGAGTTTCTGATTAGCCTTTCCAAGGGAAGCAATCAGATATACATTTATCTCAGAGAGTAAAGGGATGACATTGAGTTACATCTGTCCTTTGTCCGTAAGGAATTTCTTTGTGAACGAATTGTGAGGGAGGTATGTAGCTTTTTTTTTTTAAATCTTAGTAGCTATCTTTTTTAGCAATAGAACGGGAGGCAGGTTTGCTCTAAACAGTTCCCAGCTTGGCTGTTCCCTTTGGCTTGGTGGTTGTGGGGTCTGGAGATTTATTTTCCTTCCACAAACTTCAGGGCTGGTTGGCAGAAGTATTGAACCCATACATTTATACGTATCCTTTTATTATCTGCCCCCTTGCAGACAGTGTCTTGCTTTGCTGCCCAGGCTGGAGTTCAGTGGCACAATCATAGCTCCCTGCAGCCTCAAATTCCTGGACTCAAGCAATCTTCCCACCTCAGCCTCCCAAACCGTTGGGATTATAGGCGTGAGCCACTGCATCCAGCCACAATCTTCTTTTTAGAGCTCAATTAATTATACTTTATTGCTTTTTGTGTACCAAGAAATTGATCTGTGAACTTCCCTCATTTAAAATATACCGCAATTTTGTAACCTTGTTTTTTCATCTCTCTCTCTCTCTCTCTCTCTCTCTCAAAAATAGAAGTGGCCCAGGCCCCTCTGGACCTTAGGGAGGCCCTGAAGGCCAGAGAGGAATAAAGCAGATATGTCTGATTCCAGTCCAAGGAAAGACATTCACTTTGGGCTTTAATCTTTGCTTAATTATTTTTTCCTTTGCAAAAGAGAAAGAGACTCAATTTCCTCAGTGGGTGGCTCTATGATATTGGATGTGCAGCTTGTCGACTCCTTAGGCGTTGTATTCTAAGTTTCTCTATGGCAGGCCTTGAAAACCAAACAATTAATCAACTCCGGGCAATGTCTATGGAGAGGTCACTCTGCATGTGAGAGGGGGACCTCCCCAGCCAGAGTCTTCCTGAGTTTCTGTGTGGATCTTCCTGAATCAGGTCCTTATGTGCAGGCTTGAGAGTTGAAGAAAGAAATTCCCACAGGGTGCGGTGGCTCACGCCTGTAATCCCGGCACTTTGGGAGGCTGAGGCAAGCGGATCACTTGAGGCCAGAAGTTTGAGACCAGCCTGGCCAACACTGTGAAACTCCATCTCTACTAAAAATACAAAAATTAGCTGAGCACAGTGGCTCATGCCTGTAATCCTAGCACTTTGAGAGGCCGAAGCGGGTGGATAACTTGAGGCCAGAAATTCGAGACCAGCCTGGCCAACATGGCAAAACCCTGTCTCTACCAAAAAATACAAAAATTAGCTGGCGTGGTGGCATGCGCCTGTAGTCCCAGATACTCGGGAGGCTGAGGCACAAGAATCGCTTGAACCCGGGTGGCGGAGGTTGCAGTGAGCTGGGATCGAGCCACTGCACTCCAGTCTGGGAGACAGAGCAAGTCTATCTCAAAAAAAAAGAAAAGAAAGAAATCCCCACAGGGTCACATACACACGTACTCAAACCTAAAGCCCAATGTCCACTCTCAAATCACCATTGTCTTTGCACTGGTTCCCTGTTGAAAATTTCAACCTGTCAGCACAGCCAGGGACCAGCACAGACTGCTTTCAGTTTCGAACTGTTTCCTGAAAAGCAAAAGGCACTGGAGGAGTGAGAGGAGAGGGAGAGTGATGGGTGGAAGGACTTCGAAAACAATGACTCCCTGGAGTTTCTCAGTTTGGGTCGCCTTGGCCCCCTCCGCCTAAAGCACCCTTCTCATTCTGTTTCCTGAGTCTGAGGATTCTGCTTTTCCCTTTTGCCATCCCTGGGCCACTCTGTCCTCTTCAGTGTCCTGGTCCAGTGAAGAGACTCTAGGGCATTAGTGCCGGAGAAATGCTGACACGATCACTTATACTGTATGCTTTCGGTCAGATTCTTTACTCTCTCAGAGCTGTTGGCAAGATAGCTGGAAGGAGGAGAGATTAACTCTTTCTTTGGTGGAAAAAAAGATGAATAAACTGTAACCAAAAAAGAAAGTCAAGCAAACTTTCAGAAGTATAATCTCATGTTTTGGTTTTTAAATTCTTTGATGGAAGTGTAACATACAAACAAAATAATACAAATCGTAAATGTCGGCTCAGCAAAATTTGAGGAAATGACTACCCGTGTCTAACAGCCACCCAGATCAGACACCCACGCCCTTGAGGAGTCTCCTTCCATATGGTATTTGGGTGGGCCTCTGTGATCCATAGATATGAGCCACGGGCTATGACTTCCAAGAATAAACCATCAATGGTACTGTGCCTTGCTCTCTCTTGGATCACTATCTCCAGGGAAAGCTGGTGGCTGTGTCTTGAAGACTCACAAGCAGCTCTTTTGAGCAAGGAGCTGAGGCCTCCCACCAGCAGCCACGTGAATGTGCGATGTTGGAAGCAGATCCTCCAGCCCTGGTCCAGTCTTCAGATGACTGCAGCCCCAGCCAACATCTTGACTAGAACTTGATGAAAGAGAGATCCTGAGCCAGCAACACCCAGCTAAGCAACTCCCAGATTCACGGCTCTCAAAATCATGAGATAATGAACATTTGCTGTTTTCAGCCGTGAAGTCATGGGGGAATTTGTTATTTATCAACAGATATCTAATATAGTTGGGCCACACTTGCCCAGAGCCAGTCTCTGCAGCCACATCCAATCCTTATTCATTTATTCACTCAGCAAGTATTTTCTTTAATGCCAACATTTGTCACCACACTCTGTAGCTGGATGCTGGGGCATTCGTGGTGAATGAAGCTGGCCCAAATGCTGCTGTGATATAAAGGGAGATGGATAGAAACCACCCGAAGGAAACACATTAACAGCATTTGGCAAACTGTGGAGAAAATAAACAGGGACCCATAATCAAGACAATTGGGGTGATCCCTGCAAAGGGTGATCAGAGGCATTTCAGAGGAGGCAACATCAGAGGTGAAACCAAAAGGATAAGAAAGAGCCAGAGGTAAGAAGATCTGGGGGAAGGGATTCAGGGGGAGGAACAGCAGGTGTTAAGGCCCTGGGGAGGGATGCACACTGTGGCTAGAACATAAAGACCACATGGGGACAGGGCAACATGATGAAAAGGAAGAACAAACGAGTGGCTGGGTCCCCTCAGACCAAGTAGGCCAAGCAAGGAGAGTGGGTGCTATGGTTTGGCTGTGTCCTCCCTCCAATCTCAAATTACAGCTCTCATAATACCCATGTGCCATGGGAGGGACCTGGTGGGAGGTAAATAAATCATGGTGGCAGGTCTTATGTTGTTCTCATGATAGTGAATAAGTCTCACAAGATCTGATGGTTTTATAAAGAGGCATTCCCCTGCACATGCTCTCTCTCTTGCCTGCCACCGTGTAAGATGTGACATTGCTCCTCCTTTGCCTTCCACCATGATTGTGAGGCCTCCCCAGTCAAGTGGAACTATGAGTCAATTAAACCTCTTTCCTTTATAAATTAGTCTCAGTTATGTCTTTTTTTTGGGGGGGTGGGGACGGAGTCTTGCTCTTGTCACCCAGGCTATAGTGCAGTGGCACAATCTCAGCTCACTGCAATCTCCATCTCCCAGGTTCAAGCAATTCTCCTGCCTCAGCCTCCTGAGTAGCTGGGATTACAGGCACCTGCTACCATGTCTGGCTAATTTTTGTACTTTTAGTAGAGACAGGGTTTTGCCATACTGACCAGGCTGGTCTCGAACTCCTGACCTCAGGTGATCCACCTGCCTCAGCCTCCCAAAGTACTGGGATTACAGTCATGAGCCACTGCGCCCGGCCTCAGGTATGTCTAATACCTTACTTTTGGGAGAGGAAGAGACACCCAGTGTCCCTACTGAACATGTTCACCTAGGCTGGAACTTGGTTTGGTGACAATCTTCAATGCCTTTTACTATCTGTGAACAAGGGAAGCAGCTCTTTGAAGCACTAACTACAATCAGTGCCAGGAAAGGTCTGAGGGAAGGCAGCTGTGGGGATAAGAAACACCCCCTTCCTGCCCCTGCACCCCTTTCTCCTTGTTAGTGCCCATCTCACCTGCTGTAGTCAACTCTTCATCGTAAGGGTCTGGGCCAGAGCTACCACCACCAGCAAGCTTCCTGGCTGACAGGTGGCTTAGGCACAGGAGAAGGGTCTGAACAAGGTACACTTCATCTCTGCCCAGACTTCCAGCTCTCAGAGAGCAAGAAGTTTATGTTTTCAAAAGACAGCATGTTTTTGACGTTGCCTGCAAAGGGTGTTTAAAGGAAATAAGAGAGATGTGAAGAGGGCTGGGTTAGATTGGTCAAGAGAGGAGCCTTTTCCTGGGTAATGACTTCCCAAACACGTGTGACAAATCCACTTAGACATGAGCCAGAGGACATGTTAGAGGAGGCTGGAGGGGAGAGGCAGTTGTAGAGGGTGAGATGAGAGTTTTTAAGCTGAAACTAAACATTGTCCAAGCAGTGGCCTTTTCATATCCACATCCCTCTTTTTCCACATCCCCCATCGCTAAGCCCTGGGAACTGCTCATTTGTCATCTATTTCTGTACTTTTGTCATTTTGAGGGTGTTATAGAAATGGAGCAATACGGTACGTAAACTGCAGATTGGAGCTTTTCACTCAGCATAACCTCCTCGAGATTCATCCAAATTGTTGCGTACATCAATAGCTTGCTCCTCTCTAGTGCTGGAGTGGCATTCTGTGGTAGGAATGAACTGCAATTTGTTGAACCGTTCACCCCTGAAAGGATGTCTGGCTTGCTTCCAGTTCAGGACTATTATGAATAAAGCTGCTGTGAATTTTCATGCACAGGTTTTTGGGTGAACATAAGTTTCCATTCTCTGAGATAAATACCTAAGAATGCGTTCACTGGATCATATGGTCCTTGCATGGTTGGTTTTGTAAGAAACTGACAAACTATTTTCCAGAGTGTTTGCACCATTTTACATTCCTGCCAGCCACATAGGAGTGATCCAGTTTCACCACATCCTTCAGCATTTGGTGTTGTTAAGGGAGGAGGCCACTCCTCATATTGTCTTATGCCCAATTTCTGCCTCCAAAGAAAGAAGAAGTAAAAACTAAAAGGCAGAAATGAAATCCACAAGCAGACAGCCCAGCACCACACCCTGGGCCTGGTAAAGATAGACCCCTGACCTAATCGGTTATTTGCATAAAAAAGCACTGTGAAGATCCCTGTCCTGTTCTGTTCCGTTCTAATTAACAGTGTATGCGTCCCCTAGTCACGTACCCCCTGCTTGCTCAATCAGTCAGGACCCTCTCATGCAGACCCCCTTAGAGTTGTGAGCCCTTAACAGGACAGGAACTGCTCACTCAGGTAGCTCAGCTCTTGAGACAGGAGTCTTGCCGATGCTCCCAGCCGAATAAACCCCTTCCTTCTTTAACTCGGTGTCTGAGGAGTTTTGTCTGTGGCTCTTCCTGCTACATAGTCACTATTTTTTTATTTTAGCCACTCAGATAGGCAAATATATCCATCCAAATAACTCTCTCCCAGGGCTAATTCCTAGAGAAAGTAAACAACTGGCCTGCAAGTCTGCCTTTGATATGCAAACCAAACCATTCCCTATTCCATGCCCCCACCTGCTTCCTTTCAGCAGGCTCCTGCAGTCTGGGATATTTTCTTTCCCCTGCCCTAAATCACCCCAGGGCCAGGTACCAGACAACTAGAGACCACTCTTGTATCCTAGCCCATCAGAATAATTCAAACTACACACTCCGAAGCCTGCTGTTTGCTTACCTTACCTTGCCTATCACTTCCTCTGAAAACCATGATAAAGGCTCCCACATACATTTCCTCTCTCTCTCTCTCTGCCCCTTCACCCGCCCTCGTGCTTCCCCGTGTGGCCCTACATGGCACACTGCACCTCCTGCTTCTAGGGGTCTTTGAGTAGAAACTTATTTCTTTATGACAGTCATTTCCGTATCTGCATGCCTTACCATATCTGGTTAAAACAAATCCTGGTACATTTTTTTGTTTTGTTTTGAGACAGGGTCTCACTGTGTCACCCAGGCCACAGTGTAGTGGTATGATCATAGCTCACTGCAGCCTCCATCTCCCAGGCTCAAGCATTCCTCCTGCCTCAGCCTTCTGAGAAGCTGGGACTACAGGTGCGTGCCACCATGCCTGGCTAAATTTTTTTTTTAAGTAGGCATGAAGTCTTGCTATGTTGCCCAGGCTGAGTTCAAGCAATCATCCCGTCTCAGCCTCCCAAAGTGTTGGCATTAGAGATGGGAGCCACCATGCCCAGCCTCAGGTACATTTTTAAACATGTCCTCAATACATTAACCTGGTCCCTGAAAAACTCAGAGGGGTCCCATCATATAACAGTAAACCAACTTAAACTGAACCAGTTGATGGCCCAATCACAGTTTTGTTTTGTTTTTGTTTGTTTGTAGGGAGTTCCCTACAATCTACTGTCAGGAAAGGAAAAAAATCCAATATGGTTTATGAGCAGAAGAACTTGCAACAGTATGATTTCCTCTGTGCAGGATTCAAAAACAACCATGTCCTTGCTCAGCACACTAAAGCAAGGGAGTGATTACTCCAAGAAATATTCAGATAGTATTTAACCCTGACAGTAGGGGAAAGACAGTTATGAGGTCAGGGAGAGGCATATGGGGGGCTTCAAACATCTTAATAATGATTGATTTCCTAGGCTGAATGGTGGGTACACATGTTTATTTTTAGTCCTTGAACTGTATAGATACCTCATATACATACTCTTGTGTATGGGATGTATTTTATTTATTTATTTGTTTATCTGAGACAGGGTCTCCCTCTGTCACCCAGGCTGGAGTGCAGTGGCACAATCTCGACTCAATGCAACCTCCACCTCCGGGGCTCAAGCGATCCTCCTGTCTCAGCTTCCCAAGTAGCTGGGATCACAGGCATACACCACCACACCCTGCTAATTTTTGTATTTTTTTGTAGAGATGAGGTCTGACCATGCTGCCCAGGCTGCTCTCAAACTCCTGGACTCAAGTGATCCACCTGCCTTGGCCTCCCAAAGTGCTGGGATTGCAGGTGTAAGCCACCGCACCCGGCCTACATTTTTTTTTAACTTTTAAAAAGTATCCGGTGATAAGATGGAAAGAAATATGAGGGTCAGGGTCAGAAGTCCTTTTTGCAGTCAGAGGGGCTGTGTCTCTGGACAGGGTTCCAATGGGCATGGGGTGTTGCAAGTTCTCCTGTTCATGACTCTGTCCAAGGAGTCCTCCAAGGCCTGTTCACCCAGAGGATAGCACCGAGTATGCTCAGGAGCAGAGGCACCTTCAGGAGTGGGAGAAGCAGGAAGCAGGTGCTGCTGGGCAGGGACCTGTGAGACGGAGAGAGTGACTAGTAGTAAGCTGCCTTCTCCGGGGAGTCCCAGGCTCTGCCTCTCCCCCGCCTTCCCTCGAGGTCTCGTCCTGTGCCCTCAAACCCAATGTCAGCATCAAGCCTGGTGGGTACCAGGGTCAGGCAGCCCCATGCTGAGGGTCACAGGCTCCTGACCTTCATTCAGCTCAGAATTAACCTTGAGTGTCAAGACCCAACAGATGCCGGAGGTGAGGGATAGAGAAGAAGAGAGATATGTTAACCCAGGCAGGAACTGGCTCCCAGAAACAACTTCCTGAACAGATCCCTCAGCCACTGATGCCCGCAGGAACTCAGCTCTTGCTGGGAACAACCTCAAGGATGAAATACTCCTTTACAACCATCTTCACTCAAATTAAATATGATCACAAGAACAGCTCTTTTGCTTAAACGGCTTAACAATCTCAACCCCAAGGAGTGAACTCTCCAAGCTCAGCCCATGGCCAGTCGTCTCGCTCCGTGGGTCCCACTACACTGCTCCCATTCCAACTCCTCAGATGCTGCATTCTCTCCCCAAAATGGGCCGCTGTGCCATCTCTCCACCTTCCCAGCCCTCTACCTGCAGGGCTTGTCTGATGCCCTCCCTGATCCTCTCTAAGACGAGTCCCTGTAACAAACCCTGTTGGCGCCCTGCCCCATATCACCTTTGCCCACTTGAGCTCCTGGCAGCTGCAGGCAGTCTTGGCCCCACCAAGGATTTCCCAGCTCAAGCTCCCCATCTCTGCCTGAGGTTATCTACAAGAGTGCACACATTTTCCTGTGCAGAGCAGGCCAGATGGGCCACAGAATTCATGCCCCCAGGAGTGCCTGCTGCCTGGAAGACTCTGTCTCCAGTTCTGAGGAACGTTCTACACAGTCTCTCATAGGGTGCCCAGAGGGGTTAATCTCCAGTGACTCCAGTTACTACGGGGATAACCCCTTCATTACAGCACATTTCACCGCCCTTCCCCTTTCCTGGTCTCACTTTCTGCTCTCTCAATGTACTTCTTGAGATTACCTCTCAATAAACAAATTGCTCCTAAGTCCTTGTCTCAGGACCTGATTTGGGGGAAACCCAAACTAAGACAGTCCCTTTGTTCTTTGTTTCTGTGGAACATCTTGTATTTCCTTGATAGCCCAAATCATGCCCCACCAGCTTCCCACACACTCTGGCACCCTATCTCTTTACACCTGCTTTATTTTCCTCCACAGTAATTATCATTCGTTGACATATTTCCTTGATCTATCGTCTCTCTGTCTCTATTACATATCTCTCTCTGCCAGCTATCATCTCCATCTGTCTTTCCAGTCAGCCAGCCAGCCATCTCTATCATCTTTCATATCATATCTATCATCTGTCTGTTTATCTATCTATCCACCTATCTATCTATCTATCTATCTATCTATCTATCCATCTATCTGTCTGTCCACCTGTCTGTCTGTCTATCTATCTATCCATCTGGCCATTGCCTGAATCTACCTATTTGCAACTTCCTCAAGAGCACAATCTTGCCCCTTTGTTCACTGTTGCATCTCTAGAATCTCCATCAGTTTCTGGCGCATAACAAATAAACACCTGTTGGCCGAGCACGGTGGCTCACACCTGTAATCCCAGCACTTTGGGAGGCCGAGGCGGGCAGATCACGAGGTCAGGAGATCGAGACCATCCTGGCTAACATGGTGAAACCCCCGTCTCTACTAAAAATACAAAAAAAAAAATTAGCCGGGCCTAGTGGCGGGCGCCTGTAGTCCCAGCTACTCAGGAGGCTGAGGCAGGAGAATGGCGTGAACCCGGGAGGCGGAGTTTGCAGTGAGCCGAGATCGTGCCACTGCAGTCCAGCCTCGGCGATAGAGCTAGACTCTGTCTCAAAAAATAAATAAATAAATAAATGTTGAGTGGGTGAATAATCAAGGAAACCTGTGTCTAGGAAGCCCCACCCTAGGAAAGAAGCTGCACACATGGCAAAAGACACTGGGACACGTGCATTTTACCCTTGGCATTGGCTGGGCCTGGTGGGAGATGCAGGTGTCTTCACAGAGTTCTCAGTACTGGAGGCTGAGGATAAAGAACAGAGGTTCAGTGCCCTACGCCTGACTCTTCCCAGCTGAGTACCTGGTACCTGCATGGTTCTGACTTCATAAAGCAGAGGACGCTCAAGGAGGCAGCTGGACAGATGTTCTAGGACCATCGTCTTCCAATAGGCAGACCAAAGCCTGACTGGAGTAACAGAGCATCCCCCCAACCCCATCCCAATGGATGCCCTGCTCTGGGGCCGGGTGGGCATTTTATAAACCCAGACCAGAGGATGACCACCTTCTCCCATGTTGGTGTCCCCCATCTCGCTGAAAATCAACATGCCGAAGGTTAGGCTTAGGTTCCAAAACCCCCATCCTTGCCAGTGTATCCACACACCACCACTACCCTCCAGCACACACTCTCTGTCTCACACACACTCTCACACCTGCACACACACTCTCACATGTGCACTCACGCAACTTCACAAATACACTCACACGCCCACTCACTCACACACGCCTGCTCTCACACACACTCTCACATGCACACTCACACACCTGCTCTCACACACACACCTGCTCTCACACACACTCACACACACCTGCTCTCACACACACCCACACACCAGCTCTTGCACACACTCACACACTTGCTCTCACACACACTCACACACTCACACACCTGCTCTCACACACACTCCCACACTCACTCACACCTGCTCTCACACACTCACACTCACACACACTTGCTCCCTCACACACTCACACACACTCACACACACCTGCTCTCTCACACATTCACACACACCTGCTTTCACACACACCTTCACACCTGCACTCACTCTCACATGTTTGCACACAACTCACAGTCACACACTGAAACACACTTACACTGTCCCACTCATTCAAACACACATGTATTTCCCACACACATTCACACAACATACTCTGTCCTGAGTCTCTGATGCACCACACTAGGCCCAGTTCTTCTCTCCTGGGCCAAAATTTCTGTGGCTGCTCTGCAGAGATGGCCTCAGATGCCTGAGAAAAGAGGCTCTTACCCGATGAGACCAGCACTTGAACCTGGAAGAAGGGATCGGGCAGGAAACCAGACAGGCCATCTTCCTGCAGTATTGTTGCAATCCCACATCGGTATTTTCCTGCATCGTCTGCCGTGAGGTTCTCCAAGGTCACGGTGAAGGTGAGGTCTCCAGGATGGTCCGTGATGATCACTTGGTCACTCCTCACCACTCCCTCAGACCCTCCGGTCTCCACCATTTCATGCCAAATTGGCAAGCATGGTTGTCTGCACCAGTATTTGTTAAACGTCTTGTATTTCTCTTCATACCGACACTGAACACTCAGGGATTCCCCCACGGCGCCCATCACGGTGCTGGGGCCACTCACAGTCAGACAGCCTGGAAAACACAAGTCCGTTTCCCCGTCTTCACCTGGAAGAGTCTGGACCAGTGGAACCTTGAGTGTCAGGTCCTCTGCACGCCCAGTGTTGCCTGAGGCTGGAGGAGGGAGGAGTCGGGAACCAGGGAGCTATGGGCTATTTGCAGGGGGAGACCCAAGGAGATGCCCGGTGTGGGATCCTGAGACTCCAGAGGCCATGCCAGCCTGGGTGTGCTCAGCCATCTTATAATATCAGGGGGAGAGGCTTGACCTCGGTGGCCTCAGACAGGTTCTGGGTCCCCCAGAAGTGTCAGTCCTGAGAAGAAACACCTGTCCTCATCGAACACCAATGATTGAATGAAGCCACTAAGTACACTCTGAATAAATGGATGGCTGGAGAGATAGATGGATGGATGGATGGATGGATGGATGGATGGATGGACGGATGGATGAAATAGGAAAGGAAATAATATTGAGAACCAGGAAAAACCAGAAGCAGCCCAGTATGGAGGGCAAGGAGGAAGCCTGGGGCTTCTGGTTCTGCCCCTTTCCCAAATCATCTGTGGGCCTCATACTTGCCATCCCTGCCCATATAGATGAGGCCTCCTGCTCCCAGGTCTGGGTCACAGAGAATATGGGGGCTGCCCATGGGGATATCAAGGGGCCATGTAGAAAGGAGTTGTTCTTGTGATTCAAGGACATTTACGCCTGGAATTTTCCCCCGGGACAGAATCCTGCAGCAACACTCGCCATTGCCTAACATCTGCAGGGCTCCGCTCCACAGGGACACCCATCAGAGCTTCCTTCCCACCCCCAATTCTCTGCAGCACCCACCCGCCTTGGCATGTCCTGGGCCTCTTCTCCAGGTCCTCTGCCCCCTCCAATATTTCGACATTACTCTCCCTCTTCGAGTCCCCTCTCTCATTCCTCCACCCACTCTGCAGGCTCCGGGTCCAAATGATTGGGACCCAGCCCCATCAACTCTCTGCTTCCTGCCTCGGGGGCCTCACCAGTCCTAAACAGCTGCTGTCTCATCTGCTCTTGACAGGGAGGTGGTTAACTCAGGACAAAACGGCTATTGAGAAATGGTTTTGGCAAAATACCAAGCTCCTGAAAAGGAATTGTGGATGTAATCTGTCTACCTATCAACTATCTATCTATCTATCTATCTATCTATCTATCTATCTATCTACTATCTATCCATCCATCCATCTTTCATCTACCCACCCATCCATCTAGGTAATATATTGCCATCCACTGATGGAGAGGCTTTGCTATATTTTTATTGTGAATTAAAAGAAAAATCTGGCCAGGTGTGGTGGCTCATGCCGATAATCCCAGCACTTTGGGAGGCCGAGGCAGGTGGATCACCTGAGGTCAGGAGTTTGAGACCAGCCTAACCAACACGATGAAACCCTGTCCCTATCGAAAATACAAAAAATTAGCCGGGCGTGGTGGTGGGTGCCTGTAATCCAGCTACTCAGGAGGCTGAGGGAGGAGAATCACTTGAACCCAGGAGGTGGAGGTTGCAGTGAGCCGAGATCGCACCACTGCACTCCAGCCTGGGCGACAGAGTGAGACTCTGTCTCAAAAAAAAAACAGGAAAACTTTATCTTTTGCATCTTCATTTTCTTATCTCACGTTTTCTCACTTTATTTCCCAGAAAGCAGGCTCGAGTGGCCCACTGACCTATTCTGCATTAGAAAGCTGTCTGCCTCTCTGAAGCAGTGATTCTCACCTGGGGGGCAGGGGGGCGGGGAGGGGGCGGGGGGGCAGGGGGGCGGGCGGGAGAACATTTGGTAATGACTACAGATATTTTTGGTTGTCCCAACTTAGGGTGGGGAATTGCTGCTGGCATCTGGTGGGTAGAGGCCAGGGATGCTTCTAAACATCTTACAATGCACAGGACAGCCCCCAACACACAGAATAACGCAGCCCCAAATGTCCACAGTGTTGAGGTCCACGAGCTTTCCCAGGGAGCTAACTGCCTGCCAGGCACAGGCTTAGGAGCAAGGAAGGGGTGGGCACACCCAGTCCTCTCCTGAAATCGCTGCTGCTCTCAGCTCAGGCTCTGGGGGCGCTGTTAGCCTGCTCTTTCAGGTCCTTAAACTTCTCTCTTAATGATTTGGGGCTAATTCCACAAGGAGCAAAAACATTGTGGGGCACACACTGAATCCCACCACAGAGCCTCCCTCTCCTTGGATATTCAGTCCAGACCCTGACTCTGAGCCAACATGGGCAGCCTCCTCCACCTCCACCCCCACCATCTTTTACGGAGCTTCCCGCCTACCCAGCCTTGCAAAGAAACTGACTTTCTCCCTCCACCATCATTTACGGAAACTCTCGGACCAGGGCTGACCACAGGTTCCCAGCTGTCTCACCCTTCTGGGGGCCCATTAAGTAGCAGCCCTGGGGCCAGCCCAGACCTGTGGGGACACCCAGGGTTCCCACGTGGGGATGCAGCATATGCCTCCAGATATGTAAGTGAAGCTTTACAAGGAGGCGCAGCAGACATTGACATTGAATTAGAGAAGGAGCAATGATCTTGGAAATAAAAGTATTTAGGTTTGGACCTTGACTGTGCCTTTTATAAACTGTTTAATCTAAATTATTTGCACCTCTAAGAGCGAGCTTCGGTCTCTTGTTTTCATCAGGATTGCAATAAGAATTAAATGAGATAGTGGGAAACAAGATATGTATTACAGTGATTAGCCTAGTAAGTACTGGTTTTCTGTCCCCTATTCCCCCTTCTCTCTGATGGATCGTGGTGGCATTCCTGATCTTAATAATGACGGTAATAATGATTAAAGTTGCCAAATCTACTTAGGGCTTACTGTGTGGGAAGCAGTTTACCGTTTAATCCCCACCCTATCCCGATAAGGAGATTTGAGAAGCTTCTATGCACACCTCACTCCCTCTTTCTTGATATCATTTCTTCCTCTTGCCCCTCGCCAGCCTTTTCTCATGCCTGCCTCACCCTGACCCGCCAGAGCAGACCTCCCTGCACCCAGGACCTGCCCTGCTCACCTGGGACACAGAGAAGGAGCAGAGCTGAAGGCAGCATGGCAGCCCCAGCCCTCTGGGTCATCTCACCAGCATGGAAGTCCCTTGTGGCAGCAGGGTCTGAGGCTCTTTTTCCTTCTCACATCTCTCGTTTCCTTCTCTGGCCTCTTCTGGGTTTGGTTCTCAGAGCTGGTGAGAGTATGGAGGAAGCTGGGGCCATGGGGCACTATGTGGTCAGGTGAAACAATTTTGAGAACTTGCTGAAGTTCTTCCTAATAAAACATGTTTGCATTTGCTGTTCCTCTTTCTGTTCCCAGTAAAGACAATGTCCCTCCCATTACCCACAGCTGACAGGCCTGCCCTTCTCCAAATCACAGCATGGCCCAGGACCAGTGAGACTGGGCCAGCTGCCATCTGGATTTTCTGGGCAGGTCCTCCCCTCTGTGAATGGCCAGTTTTCTGTGGCCAGCATGAGCCGCCCCAGGGTATGGCTCAGCCTTCACTGGATGGATGAGACTGGCTATTTGCAGAGCCCAGTGTAAAATCAAACCTAGGTTTCCAAAATTATTAAGAATTTCAAGATGGTGACAGCCAAGCATGAAACGTGGGACCCTTCTAAGAGCCGGGCCTGCGAGACTGCACAGGGTAGGGGCACACCCACGATGCCCGCTGGTCTATCTCTGATCCTTGGTGGTACAGATAGGCTGGGTGCAACCTCAGAGGCTCTGACCTCTTAACCCCTCACTCTTGCTCTGACCTCAGCAGACCCCAGAGGTCCCTGTCTTGGCCACGTGCCTGACTGTTTCCACAGACCTGGCACCACGCAGAGCTTGGTGGA
Organism: Homo sapiens; assembly: GCF_000001405.40. Lineage (NCBI taxonomy): Eukaryota > Metazoa > Chordata > Mammalia > Primates > Hominidae > Homo > Homo sapiens. The sequence continues at coordinate 144,545 of NW_025791806.1, forward strand.
CCATCTATAAGCCTTGCTTTTGACCTGTGTGGCTCTTCCTGTCGCCCAAGATGACCACATATAAGAGTTTCAATATATCAAGAGCTAACTCGGGGGAACCTGGCCAGAAGTGTGCCTGATATACACAGAATGGCTGTGGAGGATTTATAAATGCAAGCACAGCTTCAGAAGGCCTCACTCAGGGACTTAGATTTCTGGAACTAGGAGACTCCAAATTCCTGGCATTCTGTTATCAAATGTCTCCTCCTTGGTGTTTCAGTAAATGTGTTTCCTGCTTGTTCATTTTTTGCTGCATGTGGAGTCCTCATATTTCTGTGTGTGTTCACATGTGTGTATATGGGTGTGGTATGAGGGATATATGTGTAGTGTGTGTGGTGTGGGTAGTGTGTGTAGTATGTGTGGTATGTGTGTATGTAGGTACATGTGATGTATGTGCATGGTGTGTGGGATGGTGTGTGTGTAGTGTGTGTGTATGTGTGGTGTGAGTGGTGTGTGTGAGATGTGTGTAGTGTGTGTGTATGTGTGTGGTGTTTGGGGTCGTGTGTGTGGTGTGAGTGGTGTGTGTGGTGTGGGTGGGATGTGTGTAGTGTGTGTATGTGTGTACATGTGGTGTATGTGTGTGATGTGTGGGGTGGGGTGCATGTAGTGTGTGTGTTTGCATGTGTGTGTGGTGTGTGTGCACAGGTGGTGTGTGTGTAGTGTGTATGTGTGTGCACGTGTGTGGTGTGAGATGTGTGTACATGTGGTGTATATGTACAGTATGTGGGGTAGGGTGTGTGTAATGTGTGTGTGGTGTGTGTGATGTGAGTGGTGTGTATGAGATGAGATGTGTGTAGTGTGTATGTGTGTACGTGTGTGTGGTGTGTTGGGTGGTGTGTGTAGTGTGTATATGTGTGCATGTGTGGGAGTGTATGTGGTGTGTGCGTGTCCATGTGTGGTGTACGTGTGTGGTATGTGGGGTGGTGTGTGGTGTATGTGTGTGGTATGTGGGGTGATGTGTGTAGTGTATGTATGTGTGTGCATGTGTGGGCGTGGAGGGTGTGGGTGGTGTGTGTGTACATGTGGTGTATGTGTGTGGTGTGTGTATGTGTGTGCATGTGTGGGGGGTGTGGGTGGTGTGTGTCTACATGTGGCGTATGTGTGTGGTGTGTGGGGTGGTGTGTGCATGTGTGGGCGTGGGGAGGTGTATGGGTGTGTGTGTGTGTACATGTGGTGTATATGTGTGGTGTGTGGGTTGGTGCGTGCATGTGTGTGGAGGGGAAGCAGGAGCTGGGAGTGATAAAGATGTCTCCCCTTGCAGCCTGCAGAGCCGGTTGCGAGCCCCGCCCTCTGTGCCTAGCTCTGGGCGCTAAGGAAAGGCTTGCCTGGCCCTCCCTGACTCTGCGTCAAGGGCTGCTCAACGTGCCTTTCTTGGGAAGAAGGGATCTGAGTCTGTGAAGGAGATGACGCACAGCTGCAGACTTTTCCAGAAAACATTCTCGCCATCCTTGTCTGGACAAACCACCGGGTGCACAGGGTTGTATTAGTCAGCTCTTTCTGGCTCACATTGCCATAGCAAAACTCCTAATCCCAGCATGCTGTAACCACAGAAGCTTGTTTCTCGCTCGTCTATACGCAAGCGGTGAGTCAGCATTGCTTGGGCACCAGGCTGCGGAGCCCAGTCCGCTAGAGGAGAGGGAAGGCACCGGGTGGCTCTCTGAGCCTCTGCTCAGAAGGCGCACATGCGGCTCCTGCTCACCGTTCATCGTCATAGGGTCAAGCCTGAAGTCAGTGGGAAGGAGAAGCACAGTCCTCTTACAGGACAAGGCGGCAAGTCACTGACCACAACCACAGAACCCACTACTGGAGGTTCCCTAACCGGGCTGGAAGGGTGCCCCGCAGCACACCGACTCCGTGCTTCTCGCTCATCCAAGGTCGGGGCAGGGAGAGGCTGCAGGGTCTGCTTAGAAACAGCCTGTGTGTGTTTCATTTTTTTAGCTAGGACCAGACAGTTTGCCAAATGCAAAGGACATGGCAATGCCACAGGGAACCCACCTTTGAAGCAGATGTACTCTGGGCCCTGGAGTCCCCCAGGAGATGACAAATTCCTTGAAGAGATGACCCACATCTGGGACATCCAGGCTTTTTCCATGTCAAGGCCAGCATCTGGAGCCGCTGTCCCTTCCCCAGCAGGCCCTTGTCCTTCTGTCTCTGAAACCTGTCCTGGAAAATGCTGTCCGCTCCAGGAGGGCAGAGCTAGGGGAGGACTGAGAATAATGAACACTGGCCATGAGGCACAGGAGGGCGGGGAGCCCGGGGCCCTGCCTGGCACTGCACCACACTGAGACCCCCACCATCGCTGCCCTTGAGGGACAGCTCTTGGGGCTTCCAGAAAGTTAAGATCTCATCAGTGAGGGGTGCGTTCTTAGGGCAAACTCGGGGCATGTGATGTGTAGGACAGTGTGAGTAGCCCACACATTTCTCTCTGCCTTTCGGGGCTGTGCTTGTCTTTCTGCTTCCTCGAAAACCGTCATCCTCCCTTCTCACTCTCCCAGGATGAGCTCAGACCACACCTCTCCTGGAAGGCATCCCTGCCTGCTCCAGGCCTTCCAGACCCCTCCCTCTGGGGTTCCTGTTACCTGCAATGCTTATTTCTGTATTTAATCTCATGTCCCTGTGCTGTCATTGTCCTGTTGCATGGCATCCATTTCCAGGTGAGGCTGTAGCCTCCACAAAGGCAGGACCAATCTGGGCACCCGGAGACGCAGACAGAGCTCGGCCCCAGCCTTGTGAGCTGAATTGGAGGGTGAGAGCTCCGATCCTTCCATATTTTCCAGGGGAGGGGATCAGGAATGTATTAAGGCATTGGGCCTCTCTTCTCTCACCTCTACTACCCGACGTCAATCCATTTGGGGAGTAGTTCTCAGTATCTTGTGCATCATGGTGAGAATGGGCAAGTGCCCAAGGATGGTGGACCCCACTGCCCACTTTCTTCCCTCCCCACTGGCACTCAAGGGAGACGTCACCAAGAGGGCAGCCTCCTGACCGGCTCTGGGCAATGGATGCCTCTTTGGGATCTTGTTACAAATACAGGGCTCTCTAGGGAGCAGGGTGTGGGGAGGGTCTTCCCAACATGGGGGCTGGGGTGCTATAGGGAGCCCGGCTCAGAGAGGGTCTCTACCTGACTCTGATGATGTGGGCCATGTAGCACAGTGAGGAAGGTTCTGGCCATAAGCTGGGAGCCCTGGCTCAGATTTTAAGGTCTGCTGTTCACTAGTTATATGACTTTAGGCAAATCAGCAAAAGTCTCTTAGCATCAGTCTCCTCATCTGTGAAATAGGAATAAAAATATTCACCCTGCTCAGTCCCAGGAGTTGAGCAAAGGCATTTGAAGGTGGTGGCATCCCTCTGGGAAACTTTCCTCTTTTGATCTTCTACGTACCATGCACTCTGTATATTTAAATCCTGCATACCCATCCCAACACCCCTGCCAGGTCACTTTTAAATAAGATGACTGGAGCTGGAAAGACGAACTAAACTGTCATGATGGGAAGTGGGGAGGTCAGGATTTGAACCCAGGTCTTCGGTGGGGTCCCACCTCTGGCTCTCATGATGCAAGGTACGGATTGCAACACTCAGGCAGGGGTGAGATGGGTTGAGAGATGGCAAGTGGAAGAGGCCTCCAAGTCTTATTTCATTCAATATCTGTTTGCAGAATAGCAGGAAGTATCTTCAGGGGAAATTAACAACACAACAAAGTCTGCTTCTGGGTGTCTGCTATGGATTGATGAGTTCCCCCAAAAATTCATATGTGGAAGCCCTAACCCGTAATGTGGTGATATTAGGAAATGAGCCTGTGGGAGGTAATTAGGGTTAGATGAGGTCATGAGGATCAGGCCTTCATTGTGGGATTAGTGCCCTTATCAGAAGAAGAAGAGAGATCTCACTTTCTTTCTTAGTCCATTTAGGCTGCTATTTTAAAATACCATAGACTGGGTGGGTTATGAACAACAGAAATGCATTACTCACAGTTGTGGAGGCTGGAAAGTCCAAGATCAAAGTGCTAGCAGATTCAGTGTCTGTTGCGCACTCACCTTCTGGTTCATAAAGAGTACTTTTTTTTGCTGTGTCTTCACATGGTGGAAGGGGCAAGACAGCTCTCTGGGGTCTCTTTTACAAGGGTACTAATCCTGTTCATAAGGGTTACACCCCCACAACTGAATTATCCCCAAGGATCCACCTCCTAATACCAACACACTGGGAATAAGTTTCAACACATGAATTCTGGAGAAACACAAACACTCAGACCATAGCACTCTCTCTGCCATACGAGGATACAGAAAGATGGCAGCCATCTGCAAGTCAAGAAGAGAGTCCTCACCAAACACCAAATCTACCAACATCTTGATCTTGACTTCCCAGCCTTCAGAACTATAATAAATAAAGGTCCCTTGTTTATAAACCACTCGGTTTATGGTATTTTGTTACAGCAGCCTGAGCTGACTGAGACAACGTCCTGGTGTCTGTCCCAATGCTTCACCGTTCTGGCTTTTCAGCATGAGTCACCTGTGCTCCTTCTCCCTGGAGGAGCCCTGTCTGGGGCAAGACCTTTGCAGAAACAGTGAGGCTTCTTGTCACTTTCCTCATTTGGAAATCAGGGATTTGGATGACAACTGGATTCCACCAACTGAGGTGTCTCTGAGGCCATTTGAAAGGCCCAGTTAGACAGAGGTTATCTTCCACAGCTCTTAGCCACTGCTGTTGGCAAACAAGGATTAGAAGAAACAGGAGACTTTCATGAAGCAGAGTTCCAGGATATGTTTTCTAGCTTCCTGGGTGACAAGAAGCAGTGAGGGCAGTGACAACTTCTTCATCTGACTTCCATTAGGAAGATTCCTTGGATTGCAGCTTCATAAAATTATTCTCTAGCTTCCTGGATGTGGAAGGCAGTTGCTTGGCAGATACCAAGACTTCATGCTCCCTGTTTGACCCTAGGGGCCTCAAAAGCAGGCTGTTCTGGATGTGAGGGAGGAGGGAGGGACAAGCTTAGGAGCTGCTTCTTCGGCCCTTTCCACAATATTATAAGCACCTAATTCTCTGCATACCTTCTAGTGCCCACCTAGAATGGGCACTAGACCTGAGTGGATACATACTCTTGGAAGGATCCAATCCCAGCAATAAGGTTGTTATTAACTAAGATAAAGGAAACCCACATTATACAGCTCCTCCTGTCTCTGGGTCAAGGGAGAGCGGGCAGGCAGGAGAGTCATCTTAGAACCGCATGCCATGTGTTCTCATTCCATCCAGCAGGTGACTTGTGCCAGGCACTGCTATCTACACTGGTGAACAAGACTGAGGCCCTGCAGGGTCCTGATGGGTACTAGAGGCTCTGGTTCCAATATGAGGAGGATGAACACTTCAGCACAGTTGTCTTTTTAGTAGACGGACCAGGAAATCAGAGGAGCTCTCTGTTACTCCATAAGGGCTGTGGTTCTCAGTAATAACTAATGGCTGTTGTTCTCAATAATAACTAATGGCTGTGGTTCTCAATAATAACTAATGGCTGTGGTTCTCAGTAATAACTAATGGCTGTGGTTCTCAGTAATAACTAATGGCTGTGGTTCTCAGTAATAACTAATGGCTGTGGTTCTCAGTAATAACTAATGGCTGTGGTTCTCAGTAATAACTAATGGCTGAGGTTCTCAGTAATAACTAATGGCTGTGGTTCTTAGTAATAACTAATGGCTGTGGTTCTCAATAATAACTAATGGTTGTGGTTCTCAGTAATAACTAATGGTTGTGGTTCTCAATAATAACTAATGGCTGTGGTTCTCAGTAATAACTAATGGCTGTGGTTCTCAGTAATAACTAATGGCTGAGGTTCTCAGTAATGACCAAAATCCAGCAGCAATGCATTATAGTCAATGGTAGAACACTGCTGCATTTTGGTCATTCCTTGAAACCCATTTGCTTGAAACTCAGTTCTGCTACAATTGCAGGGATGTATGCAGGAAAAATATTAACTCAGCAGGCTTAGGTTGTCCAAAGCCTGCACCTTCCCGAAAAAAGTTTAGCCCTTGCTTTGCTTCTAGGAGATAAGCTCTAAACCCTTGGAATATCCTGCCTGGTTAGATTGTCTTTTTTTATCTGGGGGCTTTGATGCCATGCTGGATAGCTCATGTTAACCATGTGATTATGGTGGGGGCTTCTAGCCATGCTAGATGGTTGATGCTATCAATGTAATTCATGGGTGGGTAGGGGGAACTTTGAGCTATGTAGTTTTAATTTGATCTCTGGCGACTTAGGCACTGAGGTCAGTTCTACAGGTGTTCCATGACTATGTGACTGACCCCAGTGAACTCTCTGGATACCAAGGCTTGGGTGAGCATCCCTGGATGGAGCACTTTGTGTGTGTTGTCACACATTGTTGCTAGGATGGGAGAATTAAACACTGTCTGCAAAATCCCACTGGGAGAGGACAGCTGGCAGCTTGCACCACGCACTTTTTACCTTTACTGGTTTTAATCCATATCCTTTCAGTGTAATAAACCATAACCATGCATATAACAGCTTTTCTGAGTTCTGAGTCCTTCTAGTGTAGCCGAGTCCAAAGCTCAAACTGCTTGCCAAGCAACAGCCAGTAAGTCGAGAGACAAGCTGTTGGGGCAAGGAAGATGGCTTTACAAGGCAGCAAACCAAAGAGATGGTGGACTCATGTCCTAAAGAGCAATCATAAAAGGCATGAACCTCAAGCTTCTTTTTATATTGGGGAAGGCAGAACAAGGAGGAGGTTGAGCCGGGTAGTGACAGGTGACCACAGACATCTGGGTGTCAGCTGAGGAGGTTGCATTAACTTCTTTGTTCTTGGTCAGGTCACAATGCTCCTATAAATCGTTAGCATAACATTGTTACTGTGTGTATGTCTTCCTTATTGCTTCAGGGGTGTTGCAAAGGGACTATTATCATCCTTGCTTTAAAGTGAAACTATAGCCAGGTGTGATGGCTCATGCCTGTAATCCCAGCAATTTGGGAGGCCAAGGCAGGCAGATCACCTGAGGTCAGGAGTTCGAGACCAGCCTGGCCAACAGGGTGAAACCTTGTCTCTACTAAAAATACAAAAGTTAGCCGGGTGTGGTGGTGCACACCTGTAGTCCCACCTAGTCAGGAGGCTGAGGCAGGAGAATTGCTTGAACTCAGGAGGCAGAGGTTGCAGTGAGCCGAGATCGCGCCACTGCACTCCAGCCTGAGCAACAGAGCGAGACTCTATCTCAAAAAAAAAAAAGAAAGAAAGAAAGAAAAGAAAAAAAGTTAAACTATACACTAAATTCCTCCCACAGTTAGTTTGGGTTATATGCTAAAGATATTGCAGGGTAGGGGTGTGGTCAGGAGCAAAATGGAGTTTGTTATTCTAGACCTCCTTTTCATGGTTATGCTAGTGAATCATTAAACCTGGGAGTGGTATTGGGTACCCCCAATAAGAGATGGAAAGTTTGACTGAATTTTAGTGCAATATGATAACAGAGGGGAGAGCCACCTGTTGTGATGATAGGGAAGCGGGGTAAGGTACCATCAAGCTAGCTTCCAGTGAAAAAGAGTGTTTACCCAGGAGTACTAGGTCCCACAGGTACAGGAGGGAGTACGGCAAATGAGGTGAGAAATTCTACTCAAATAGTGGCCAGGCACAGTGGCTCATGCCTGTAATCATTGCACTTTGGGAGGCCAAGGCAGGCCAATCACCTGAGGTCAGGAGTTCGAGACCAGCCTTGCCAACATGATGAAACCCCATCTCTACTAAAAATACAAAAAATTAGCTGAGCGTGGTGGTGCACATCTGTAATCCCAGCTACTCGGGAGGCTGAGGCAGGAGAACCGCTTGAACCCGGGAGTTGGAGGTTGCAATGAGCCGAGATCATGCCGCTACACTCCAGCCTGGGCGACAGATTGAGACTCTGTCTCAAAGAAAAAAAAAAAAGAAAAAGAAAAAGAAAAAGAAAAGAAATTCTACTCAAATAGTGATCTTGTTGGGAAGATGTCCAAGTTAATTCAGTTACAGAGATCAACATCATATATCTTTCATTTCATTAGACTTGTCAACATCTTTCCAAGGAAATTGCTTTTGGATTTGTCATGGATATTCGATTTTGCTTTATTTGTTTGCTATCATTTTTGTAATTAGTTTCTGCTACATTAGACCCTTTATCCATCAATACCACAGTGTTTATTCAAATATATTCCCACTACATGTCTATGAATGTTATTGATTATTGAGTATTGACTAGAGAAAGAATCTCTTATATGGGTAGCAAGAACAGAGAAGTTAGCTTATAGAAAGAATTAAATCAGTAAATTTAGACGCAATTGTGCAAATTAGCTAGTCTTGACAGGAAAGAGAAACTTTGAGATATTCGACAAAATAAGAAAGGAAAATGGCAGAATGAGAATCGATTTGCATTCTTTCAACCATAAGAATGAGGATGTTGATCTGGTTAACTGCCTCTTGCTAGTAGATCTGGGGAGGAATTGGAAAGACAAAGATTGAGGTCGTGAAGGGGAAGAATAAGACAAGTAAAGCACAGTCACGTTGAGCTGCTGGTTTTGGTGACCTATGGCTCCCCGGCGGCTGTGATTGGAGTCTGAAGCTGAGAAGTCATGAGGCTAAATGTCCCGATTGTCTTGCCAAGCTGCTTAGACCTTGCCACTTAGACCTTGTTGCTTAGAAGGAGACACCAGAAACCAGGAACTTGAGGCTGGGATAAAGCAGATGCTTTCTCTCCTGGTGCTCTGGGAAGGGAGTTTGAAGTAATCTAGGCAGCTTGCTGCTTGTGCCTTCATCCTGGCGGGCAAAATCACCTTGAGTGGAGGTAGAACACGTGTATCTGCCAAACTGTGATTCTCTAAGGGCAAGGATTACATCTCTGTTTTTTTGTTTGTTTGTTGGTTTTTGAGACGGAGTCAGGCTAGAGTGCAGTGGCGCCATCTTGGCTCACTGCAAGCTCTGCCTCCCGGGTTCACGCCATTCTCCTGCCTCAGCCTCCCAAGTAGCTGGGACTACAGGCGCCCGCCACCACGTCCTGCTAATTTTTTGTATTTTTAGTAGAGACGGGGTTTCACCGTGTTAGCCAGGATGGTCTTGATCTCCTGACCTCGTGACCCGCCCGCCTCGGCCTCCCAAAGTGCTGGGATTACAGGCGTGAGCCACCGCGCCCGGCCCCCAAAAGGAAACTCTTGATTTGACCTCCTGCAAACTCCCCAGCCTGATCCTCTTCTCATCACAGTAAATTACACCCATGGTCCCCTTTTTCTCAGACCAAACTCCAGTCACCTGGGCAACATCCTTGGCTCATCTTTTGCTCGTGCCCCAGCCATTGTGTTAACCCAAGACCCTCAGATCTGTCCACTTTTCTCCATTGCCCTCCCACCCCCCTCTTTCTCCCTGATTACCACAGGGCCTTCCCTCTTGAACAGGCACAAGAGCTCCCCAGTCTGACTCTTGTCCCTATTCACTGTGGCTAGATTGCACTTTTAAAAACAGTTACCAGAGGCGGGGCGGGTGGATCACCTGAGGTCAGGAGTTTGAGACCAGCCTGATCAATATGTTGAAACCCCGTCTCTGCTAAAAATACAAAAATTAACTGGGCGTGGTGGCATGTGCCTGTATTCCCAGCTACTCGGGAAGCTGAAGCAGGAGAATTGCTTGAAGCCAGGATGCAGAGGTTGCAGTGAGCCAAGATCGCGCCACTGCACTCCCGCCTGGGTGACAGAACGAGGCTCCGTCTCAAAAAAAAAAAAAACAAGCAAACAAAAAAACCAACAATGAATATCATCAATACAAAAACCACCATACTGACAATATTAGTACGGGGAAGAGGATGGTGGGAAAAGAGGAAGATACAGAAGTCCTCATCTTTTGCTGCAGAGAGTCAATAGAAAGATTCAATAATGTTGTTAAAAACAAGATGAGAACGTGGGAGCTCAGAGAGTGTTATGAGTTGGTGGGGTGTCCACACTGGGTGGGGGCTGGGAGCAGCGCTGGTCAGAGCCTGGGCAGCAGACAGGACATGGGTCAGCCCAGAGAGGGGCGGCAGAGCTCATGAAGGGTGAGGCTGGGGGTGGGGGAGTCTGGATAATAACCATGATTTCATCATTTTCTAGCTGAGTGATCCTTTATCTTTGAGCCTGTAGACTGCCTTCACGGCACTTACCCAGGTCTTTTTCTTTATTTCGGTGATAGTTGTACTTGAACAGTGCCTGATACTTAGTGGATGCTTAGTAAATGTTTTCGCTTATTTTTTATTTTTATTTATGTATTTTTTGTGACAGAGTCTCCCTCAATCACCCAGGCTGGAGTGCAGTGGTGCAATCTGGACTTACTGCAACCTCCACCTCCCAGGCTCAAGAGATTCTCATGTCTCAGCCTCCCAAGTAGCTGGGATTATAGGTGTGCGCCACCATACCCAGCTAAGTTTTGTACTTTTAGTAGAGATGGGGTTTCACCATGTTGGCCAGGATGGTCTCAAAGTCCTGGCCTCAAGTGATCTACCCACCTCGGCCTCCCAAAGTTCTGGGATTACAGGAGTGAGCCACTGCGCCCAGCATTTTGGAATGAATGATGGTGGGGAGTGAATAAGGGTCTCACCTGGGTACAGAGATTGACCTGACAGAGGGCAGTTGGGTGATCCTGGTTCATGTTCCCAGAAGGGAATTTCTGTTATTTAGCCTCTGTCTTAACCACCAGATGATCCCACTGGGCAGGGGGCTCAGTCATTAGAGTCCAAGACTGAGCACCACCCTGGGGACCCAGGCAGGCGGTACTGAGGACCCAGCCATCCCCAGCTCACAGTTCTAGCTCTGGCATCCAGTTTATGGATTATGTCACAGTCCCCAAAATGTATGGGTGATCTCCCCATATACCCCAAATTGAGAGTAGCAGCCAACTGCAATACTCTTAAAAGAGGTAAGAAAATGTAACAATCAACACTAATAGAAAAGTCTTACAGTGACGAAAGGAGGCTGTGTTTTCCCATCATCTTCAATCGTACTCATCCAGGAATCTCCTGACTTCCCTTCCCCACAAGTGGCAGGAGAGCAGCTGGCACGGCAGCCCGGAAACCTCTGCTCTCTTCTGTACTCATCTTCCCTTAAGTTGGCCCATTACCAGAGTTTGGTTCCGTTTTTCTGTTTTCATGGGTTTAGGATTTTGAAACCCATTATTGACTGGAGACTTGAACCCCACGGAATGCAAAGACAGGTCCGTTAACATTGCATGTGGCTCACAGACCTGAGATCACGAATGTCCACTACGGCATAGGTGCCTCTCGGGGGAAACACATTCTTCTCATGTTTTCTACTGCATTGGAGACCTCAGAAGGAAGAAGGGCTCTGTCAGGCCCCAGGGACTGTGCAGAGAAGGGAATAGCCCCAGGTGGCACGGCTGCAGGAGATAGGGGACTAGGAGGCTGTTCCCTGAAGCTGGGGCCAGCACTGCCTCTAGAACCACAGTCAATTCCCCATAGAAATGTTGTTTTTCTGCCAGGTGCGGTGGCTCACACCTGTAATCCCACCACTTTGGGAGGCGAAGCGGGAGGATCTCTTGAGGTCAAGAGTTCGAGACCAGCCTGGGCAACGTGGTGGAAGCCCATCTCTACAAAAAAATTTAAAAATTAGCTGGGGGTGGTGGCATGTGCCTGTAGCCCCAGCTACTCTGGAGGTTGAGGCAGGAGGATCGCTTGAGCCTGGGAGGGGAAAGTTGCAGTGAGCAGAGATTACACCATTGCATTCCAGCCTGGGTGACAGAGCAAGACTCTATCTCTAGAAAGAAAAAAAGAAGAGAAAAGAAAATGTTTTTTCTTCTGTGGGAGGGCCTTTCGCCCTGGACAGGACGTCAATGGGCATTGGGACTCTCATCATCGGGCTGACTCCTCCTCCTTCAAGACCTTCTTTGTGGTCTGTTTACCCAGAGGACGGTCCCCAGCATGCTCAGGAGCAGAGGCAGCTCCAGGAGGAACAGGAACAGGAAGTGGGTGCTCTTGAGCGGGGACCTGTGGGAACACGGTGACAGGAAATGAGCTGCCTCCTGGGTCAGAGGTCTCAGGTCTTCTCAGCTCTATGCCCAGATCCTGGCTTCCAATGTCTATGTGAGGGTAAGCCTGGAACCCCAGACAGGCCAGCCCCTTTGGTGGGGCACAGTCACACTGCTCACCAGCGAGGCTCCCAGTCCTCCCTACACCTCCAGTAAACTCAGCCTGGCATTCAAGGTCCCGTCTGCCAACTCCCATCCGGCCTTTTTGGCTGGTCTCCCATAACTCCTCCTCACCTATCTTGAAGGGGTTTAGCATTCCCTGTCTCTACTTACCTCGGCTTCTGCTGCATTCTGCACCCAGAGGGCCTCTCCGCCCTCATCGCTGCCTGTGCAAACGCTACCCACCTTTCAGGTATCAGATCTGACATCATATTCTTGAAGGCCTTGGAGGCTGACCTTGCTCTGACCCTCTTCCTGTGGACCAGCACCTGGCCCTGGGGTTCCTTATGTTCCCTGTTACTTTCTATGGATGTGTAAGGCCCAGAACCTTATTGACCATCAATTCCACCCCCTCACCATCCTCCACCCACTTCCCAGGGTCTCGACCTCCCAACTTGGGCCTTCGTTGTTTCTTTCACCTCAGCGCAACTTGAAGCCACTCTCAGCTCACGGATAAATTTTAAAAATCAGGCCAGGCGTGGTGGTTCGCACGTGTAATCCCAGCACTTTGGGAGGCCAAGGCAGGTGGATTGCTTGAGCCCAAGAGTTCAAGACCAGCCTGGGCAACATATTGAGGCCCCATCTCTAAAAAAAAAAAAAAAAAAGACAGAAAAGAAAATTCAAAATTATATCCAACTCCAGAATGCCGGATGAGCCCTCAGATGATGGGACTGAGGGTATTTGGGGGAGATGGAGGAGGGGCTATACAGCAGGCCACGGGTCAAAATGCCCCCAAAGGTCCTTCCCAGCATCTTCACTCTTGGGGCTCTCCTGCTACACCTCTGGAGTCCTTTGCCCTCTGTCCCCTGACAGCTAAAGTCCCATCAGTTTGCACAAAAGCATGGAGGAGGAAAAAAACAAACAAAAAAAAAACAGTCGAGGAGTCCTAAAGCCAGCTCCGTGGGTGGAGCTCTGCAGATGCATTCTCAGAACTCAAGATCGAGTGAATAAAAAAAAAAAAACAGAGTTGAACTGCAGAGGGAACTGGCAGACCTTGAGGAGTAGTTCCAGGAGGACTGAGCCAGAGACACGGGCCTCTGCGCTGGGCTCTAGCAGGAGCAGGACGGTCTGTGGTTTGGGCTCTGGCCTTGACCTGGGGGGCTTGACCACAGCAGGCCGTGATGGAACCCAACGGCTAGCTATCAGGTGCCGACCTCTGGGGACTCCTCTGGACACCTCCAGGGCTGGTGAGCATCAGACTAATCCTCCAGACCCCTCTGCCAGCTTGGGAGGGTGAGAACGCCAAACTTCCAGCTTCCCCCTTTCCCTCTAGCATTTTCCATTCCCCTACTCTGGTGTCTTGGGAGAGAGAGGCTGGAACAATATTTGTTCTTGGGCAGAAACTAGGAGCAGATGAGAGAGGTGTCTCTCCTAACCCACTAAAGGCCAAACCTCGATATGCCCTCTTGACCCCAGGAGGTGGGGAGGGCATGTTCAGGCCCCTCTCCTGCCACCTTCAGTCATGTGGTGGCTCATGTCTGTGCTGCAGAGTTTGCCTTCATGTAGCCAACACTTAGATGGGAAATCTTATTTTCCTCAAAGGTAAACTGAGATTGGGGCAGGCCATCGGAGGTTTGCAGTGACTTTACTGATACAAAGACGAAACAGCAGGGGCCTATGGGGGTCCCAGCCTGAGTACCCCCAGAAAACAGGGCTATCAGAGTTAACAAATAAAAGCATAGAATGCTCAGTTAAATTTGAAGTTCAGATAAACAACATATGCTTTTTTAGTATAAGTATAGCCCATGAAATAGTTGGGATATACTTATGCTAAAAAATGTTTTGTTGTTTGTCTGAAATTGCAGTGTAACTGGGCATGCTATTGTTGTATCTGGCAACCCCTGTTAGAGGAGAGGCCATGGGGCCAGGCCTGTGCGAAAGTGGTGGGACCTGGCTCCACCTACCTGGTGAGGGGGCTGCTGGTCTTCTGGGTGGCTGCAGCTGTGAAAGCCAGGCTTGCTGTTGTGGTTGTCCATTCTGAGACTGCAGTTTGTGTGCCTAAACATACAAAGCAGAACACGGTTCACCCCTTCCATGGATGGCCCAGCTCTGGCTGTGGCCCTAAGGCTTCTCCACCTAGGAATTAAGGAGCCTCTGCCTTGGGGTCCAAGACTGTCTGGTCAGCATCCAAAATATTACATGAATTATCTTCTAAAGAGAAGTTACTGAATTATTACCATGTGAGAAATTCTGAGGAGCAGACTAAGGAGGGAATTTGCAATCATCAGTTGCATGGCACAGCTTAGCACACTCGATAGCATTCCGCTCTCCTCGGGCTAGGCTAGCTCTTTTCTGAGTCTCGGCCACAGCCGAGGTGAACTCCTTACCGCCTGTTCTGGAGTGATTCGGCGGCTGAGCTGGTGGCCCCCTCGCTGAGCCACTTCTGGAGAGCCCCGGATTCCTGGCTCTCTGCAGCCAGGCCCAGCGCCCTCCACCTCCGCTCTTCCCTCTCTGGCCGTTTCCTGTCTTCCAGCAGCTTCCCAATCTCACCCTCCCTACCCCTGTTGAAGTCTGGCTATGTCTGATGCATCCCAGCCTCTGCTGTGTGCCAATTCCTGCTGGACCACACCCTACTCACGCTGACGGTGTGTGTAGTGAGTTTTGATATTCAAAGTTTGCTTCAGGAGCAATCTAATAATAAGAGATCACAGCATCATATTTGTCTTTTTATATCATTTTTCTGGGATTAAATCAAGGTATAACTGACACATAATAAACTGTAAATATTTAAAGAGAACAATATGTTAAACTCTGATGTATGTGTATACCCGGTAACACCACCACCATGATCAGGACAGTCAACACATTCATAATCCCCATGCCCGCCCTCCCCCTTACTCTGTCCCCAGGTGTTAGGGACTGAACTGTGGACCCCTAAAAATTATATGTTGATATGCTAGTCCCCAGTACCTCAAAATGTGACTATATTTGGAGATAGGACCTTTCAAGAGGCAATTAAGTTAAAATGAGTTTGTTAGGGTAAGTCCTAATGCCATCTGACTGGTATCGTTCTCTGAAGAGGAGATGAGGACACACAGGGAGACACCAAGGCATGCGAGCACAGAGGGGCAACCGCAAGAAGGGGTAGCAAGAAGGCAGCCACCTGCAAGCCAGGGAGGGAGGCCTCAGGCTCAACTGAACCTGCCAACACCTTGATCTCGGACTTCCAGCCTCCAGAACTATGAGAAATACGTTTCTGTTGTTTACGCCACCCAGTCTGTGGTATTTTGTTGTGACAGCCTTAGCTAAGGGATGATCCATTTTCTCTTACTATCTATGAGTTGGCATTTTCCAGAATCTAATATAAATGGAATCATACAGTGTAAATCAGCTTTTGAGCTGGTTTCTTTCACTCAGCATAACTATTTTATCATTGGTATATCAGTAGAACATTCCCTTTTATTGCAAGTTGTATTCCATTGCATGAGTATTTCACTTTTTTTTTTTTTTTTTTTTTGAGACAGAGTCTCTCTCTGTCACTCAGGTTGCAGTGCAGTGGCATGATCTTGGCTCACTGCAACCACTGCCTCCCAGGTTCAAGCAATTCTCTGCCTCACCCTCCCAAGCATCTGGGACTACAGGTTAGTGCCACCATAGCCAGCTAATTTTTTTTTATTTTTAGTAGAGATGGGGTTTTGTCATGTTGGCTAGGCTGGTCTCAAACTCCTAGCCTCAAGTGATCCACCTGCCTCAGCCTTAACAAAGTGCTGGGATTACAGGCGTGAACCACCACGCCCAGCCTGTATTTCACATTTTTAAAAAAATCCACTCACTTGAATTGTTTCCAGTTTTTTGCTATTACAAATAAAGCTGCTATGAACATTCACATACAGGTCTCTGTGTGAACATAAAACTTTCTATTATTTTGACTAAATATGGAAGTGCTGAGGGGCTGGATCATCTCTGGCGGGCATACATTTCATGTCTGAAGAAACTGCAAACTCTTTTCCCAGGTGGTTGCATCATGTGCATTCCCACCTGCAGGGTATGAGGGCTCCAGGTACTCGAGAGTGTTTCCAACACTTGGTGTCAAGGTCAGTAATGTTAACTTTTGTTACAGGCCGAAAGAATGAGAGTCATGACCAACACAGTATAGCACTGGAGGCTATATGAGCGAACAGAAAACTGTTCTCATGAAAGCAGGATGTTGGAAAACTGGCAACGGTGTCTGCTGCCCGAAGGGGTGCTGAGGGCAGTCACACCCCAAGTGCTGTGTTCCTTGTGATTATCTATAGGAACATCTGAAGCCTGTTGTACAAAGAAAGCTATTGTGTGTACCTGTAATAAATCAAGCAGCTGACCAACCATTACCTCTCCCTCCCTTCTCTTTCTACCTAATAAATACGAAGGGCTGTAGAAGCTCAGGGCCCTTGTTCACTAGAAGCAAGGAGCTCCCTGACCCCTTCTTTCAAAACAGATCTCTTTGTCTTTGTCTTCATTTCTGCATTCGTCCCCCCTTTGTTCAATCCCCTAGCAACCAACAGCGACAAGTGGTGGCCGGGACAGGAACGTGAGCAAAGAAGGTCTGCTGGAGCAGAGAAAGAGAAACTGACAAGACGAACGAGAAACCCTGGAACAAGTCTGCCGGCAGCCAATAAAAGGTCAGTGCCCTAAAGAGGTACTGGGAGCGGCAGCAGATACAAGATCAGTGCCCTAAAGAGGTACTGGGATATCAGGTCAGTGCCCTAGAGAGGTACTGGGAATGGGAAGTTTTCTGAATAAGGGTAACATGGGGCAGAATTTGTCTATTGAGGTGCAACATTATGTGCATTTGCTTAAAGTTTTACTTAAACAAACTGGTGCTCAGGTTAGTTCTCAAACATTAATTAAGATGCTGAAGAAGGTCACTATACATAACCCGTGGTTTCCACAGACAGGCAGTCTTGATGTAGAAATTTGGGACAGAGTAGGACCAGGATTAAAACGGGCTCACCAAAAAGGTCTTAAATTTGATCTTTTTGTTTTTTCTGCTTGGAGTTTAGTCCGTGCTGTCCTCCTGCCATTATCTTCTTCTTATTCTGCTAGACAGCAGGAATCATATTCCAAGTCTAAAAATCTGAAAAAATATTTTGTCCCACCCACAGTACCAATTAAAAATAATAAACAGGAGAAGGAGGATGAAAACTGGCCTGTGTCACCCCCTCCAGTAGCAGAAACGTCTGTACTGCCTCCTTCAGTAGCAGAAATAGAGACCCCAATACAAAGAATTTTATGCTCTGCTGCTATAGCTGGAAAGCCCTTAGGACCTTGCGCTTTTCCTATTTCCATAAGGCCCGATCCAAATAATCCTCAGCAGTTTATTCATGAACACACCCCACTACAGTTTAAGTTGCTGAAGGAATTGAAAGCGAGTGTAGTTAATAATGGAGTACAAAGCCCATTTACTTTAGGATTGCTAGAATCTATATTTGGTGCTATGCGCCTTCCACCCTTTGATGTAAAGCATTTGGCTTGCACTTGTTTGTCTGCTAGTGCATACCTGACATGGAATTTAAATTGGCAAGAACTGTGTGCAGACCAGGCTAGACAGAATCATGCTGCTGGACACGGAGACATTACAGAGGATATGCTGTTAGGTAATCGTCCTTATTCAGACCTGGAACATCACATGGCACTCCCAGACACTGCTTATAAGCAGTGTGCCTTGGCTGCTAAACATGCCTGGGCCACAATTCCTGAGGAAGGGGTCCCAGTACAATCTTTTTTACATATCATGTAAGGGTGGCCAATGCACATTTTCTTGCAAGATTACAAGAGGCGGTGAAGCATCAGATTCCTCATACTGCGGCTACAGAAATGCTAACCTTAACTCTAGCTTTTGAGAATGCAAATGCAGATTGTAAATGTGCACTGGCATCTGTGAGATGTACAAAAAACTCGGGAAATTTTCTCAAAGCTTGTCAAGATGTGGGAACTGAACTTCATTGCTCTACAATGTTGGCTCAAGCAATGGCTAATTTAGTAGTGGACAAATCTAAAAACGGCCAAGGAGCAAATCCTAAAATGGGAAAATGTTATAATTGTGGAAAAATCGGACACTTCAAAAAAGAATACCGTCAGACCTTTGGGCAGAAGGGATCTTATAATGCAGCCCCCCACCCCAGAAAAAATGCCAGGACTTTGCCCTCATTGCAATATAGGAAATAACTGGGCTAGTCAATGCCACTCAAAATTTCATCAGAATGGCACCCCCCTGTCGGGAAACGAGAAGGGGGCCTGGACCCGGGCCCTATAAACAATGGAGGCATTCCCTGTCCAGCCCACAGCCCCATCTCAGGGATAGGTTCCCGGAGGCACATTGATTCCCTCTCCCCAGGAACACCTGGAAGCTCAGGATTCGATCTCCCAGTCAGAGAACAGGTAACGTTAGTGGGAGGAGACAAACCCACCAAGATTCCCACTGGTATTTGGGGACCTTTGCCAACAGGATATATGGGATTAATTTTGGGTAAAAGCTGTCTTAATTTACAGAGCATTACCTTAGTCCCAGGAGTTATTGATTCTGATTATGAAGGAGAAATTCAAGTAGTGGTAATGTCACAAGGTCTTTGGGTTTTTGAACCAGGAGAATATATTGCTCAGCTACTGCTTATTACCTGCCAGTTACACCCTTCTTTACGGAGGTTGGGAGTTCGAGACCAGCCTGACCAACATGGAGAAACCCTGTCTCTACTAAAAATACAAAATTAGCTGGGCATGGTGGTGCATGCCTGTAATCCCAGCTACTCGGGAGGCTAAGGCAAGAGAATCTCTGGAACCCAGGAGGTGGAGGTTGTGGTGAGCCGAGATCGTGCCATTGCACTCCAGCCCAGGCAACAAGAGCGAAACTCCATCTCAAAAAAAAAAAAATTGATATTATCCGGTCCTGAACTCACCAAAGGGCCATCTGAGCCTGAAATTTTCTTCGTGAGAAGATGGCAAATGACAAATTCTATTTCATTAAAAGATATAGAGCTATTCCAGTTATCTATTTCTTCTTGTGACTGGTAGTTTGTGCCTTTCAAGGATGTTTTTCCATTTCATTTAACTTGTTGAATATATTGGCATAAAAGTTGTTTACGACACATATTCCCTTATTATTCTTTTAGTAGCTATAAAATCTGTTGTAATGTTACCTCTCTCATTTCTGATGTTAGTAATTTATATCTTTTTCCTGATCAGTCTAGGTAGAGGTTTAACAGTGTTTCTGATGTTTTCACAGAAAACATATCTCATTTCATTGATTTTTCCCTATTACTTTTGTTTTCGATTTCATTAATTTTTCATTGTGGTCTTAATATTATCTGTGTTCTGATGTTTGCTTTGAGTTTACTTTGATCTTTTTTTTCCCTAGTATCTTGAGCTAAGGCCATTGACTTGAGGCCCTTCTCCTTTTCTGATACAGGGACTTAGTGCTATAAAGAAGTTCCAAGAAGGCACTGGCAGGGATTGGGGTCTCTGGTTACCAGGGAAGGGGGTCCCTTTGGCCTGTGGGCTGAAACTGGAACCATCACCCTGTCATCTGTGGGCAACAGACTCAGGCACTGAGCTGTGCAGAGAAAAAAAAAATGTGCCTAGAAAGACTTAATCCCATCCTGGAGGGAGCCCTGGGAGCCATGGGGTCATTAAGAGATCCCCTCAATCCCAAGCGGTCCTTCAGGGTCCTATGAGACCTGTCTTAGTCTACTTTTTCTTGCTTATAACAGAATATCTGGAATTGAGTCATTTATAAGGAAAAGGAATTTGTTTCTTACAGTTATGGAGGCTAAGATGTCCGAGGTTGAGGAGCCACATCTTGTGAGGGCCTTCTTGATGGCAGGGACTCTCTGCAGAGTCCCAAGGTGGCTCCAGGCACCTCGTGGTGGCGGAACTGAGTATGCTAAGTCAGGTCTGTCTGCCTTTTCTTATAAAGCAGTTCCATTCCCATGATAACCCATTCATCCTTTAATCCACGAATGGATTAATTCATTCATGGGAACTCTGCCCCCATGACCCAGTCACCTTTTAAAGGCCTTGTCTCTCAATACTGCCACATTGGGGATTAAGTTTCAACACGAGTTTTGGAGGGACAAATATTCAAACCATAGCAAGACCTCAGGACTCAGACACCCTCTGTCACAGGTCACTCTGAGTGACAGTTAATTTACTCAAGTGGGACCTCAGGGACCAGGACAGAGCAGGACCTGAGAGACACACACGTATATACACTCCCTCTTACCTGGGTTAATGGTCACTTGAACTTTGACCCCAAGATCAATTCCAGGTCTCTCAGTCCCACACCAATAACTGTCAGCATCATCTCTTTTGAGATTCTCCATGGTCACGGTGAACACGTGGTTTTTCTGATTGTCCCTGATGGAAACTCGATTCTTCTTTACCTCCTGCTCTGATCCATTTGTTTTAACAAGGATGTTACAGTAATTCCAATCAGCTCCTTGACACCGCCACTTCAAGTAGGTCTCCCAGCCTGAGCCATAAGCACACTGCACAGTCAATGAGCCCTGCTCCGAGCCATTCACTGTTGTTGGACCAGTGATTTTAGCGGCAATGGAGTAACCTGGAAAACGCAAATTCATGTGTCGTCACCTCCCACCCCAAGGGCAGGGCCACAGCCTCGTGCATTGGGAGTAGCAGCCAAATCCAACTGCCTTATAACAGTCAAGGAAGCAATACATTTTCCTCAAGACAAATCTTTGTCCTTCAAAATTCCACTGGGTCAAAGTCACCAGGAAAATCACTGAAGAGCACAACTGCAGATCCCCAAAGAAACACAAATGTTGGCATTGAGCAATAATAGCTTCCTGCAGTTCACCCCTCTCTCTTTCCCTATGGCCAGCAAATCTTTATATTCCAAGGAATGCTCTTTGGCAACCATCTTTGTGTTATACTGGTCTGATGGGGAGGAAATGGCAGAAGGCCCTTTTCCAGAAGAATGATTGCTGCCTTGATGCTTGGCTGTTCCTAGTGGTTCTAATGGTTTCTGGTGGCTCTGCTGTAGTTAATCACCCTGAATGAATCCCTTTGAAATCAACCAAATAGTGATGCCAACTGGTCTCTATCTGCTATGGGATCCACATCACACAGATCTCCATTTCGCCATACAGTGTTATAAATTCCACTTCCAAAATTCCTAGGAAAAGCTAACTTTTAAGATAAACACAAGTAAAGGTTAGGTATAAACAGAGCAGCACCCATTCAACACCCTTCTGCATCTTATAAGTTCTTCTCTAAACATAATGGACATGATTCAAGTCAGTTAAAGGGTGAGGAACGGGCATACCTAATTAGCTCCACTTTTCAAACAATTTGATCCAGGACAAGACTAGTCTCCATGAACTTGTCAGCCTAATCTTTCACTTGAAAACAATTCAAAACAGTGGAAATACCTTAAGTGAGAGCTTTGCCAGAAATTCTTTAAATTCAACTGACCTAAAGGGAGACCCATCTAAAGAAACGATTGATTTTGATGATTTATGCACTGGCAATAAACCATAGCTGTGATTAGTGCAGCATAAACTTGAGATGGAACTAGAAGCACATTGGAGCACTTGAAGAAGCCCTGGGGGCAATTCCTGTGGCAGGAGAGAGGTTGTCTCTGAAACGCCAAGAGACACCCAAGGTCGTGGGTAAGAGCTCAGGCTGTGCCAGAGTGCTTGGGTTTGAATCCTGGCTCTACCACTGATAAGTTTTGTGAACCTGGGCAAATTAACCTCTCTGTGTGATACGGTTTGTCTGTGTCCTCACCCAAATCTCATCTTGAATTGTAGCTCCCATAATTTCCACATGTTGTGGGGGGCACCAGTTGGGAGTTAATTGAATCATGGGGCGGTTTCCCCCACATTGTTCTCGTGGTAGTGAATAAGTCTCATGAGAGCTGATGGTTTTATAATGGGAAACCTCTTTCACTTGGCTCTCATTCTCTCTCTTGCCTGCTGCCATATAATACATGCCTTTCACCTTCCACCATGATTGTGAGGCCTCCCCAGTCATGTGGAACTGTGAGTCCATTAAACCTCTTTTTCTGTGTAATTTACTCAGTCTCGGGTATGTCCTTATCAGCAGCGTGAAAATGGACTAATACACTGTGACTTCGTTTTCTATAAGTGGGAATAGTAATGGCATCTACCTCTATGTTACTATATTATGTTTGTTATTATTATTATTATTATTATTACCCCTGGATGAATGAAAACTTTAGACTTCATTGGAATGTCTTGAAAAACCAGGGTCACCATGGTGGGAGCGGAAGACAATTTCACCATAAACAGGCAGAGCTCCACAACCCAAGGAATTCCTGGAACAGAAATTGG
Source organism: Homo sapiens (assembly GCF_000001405.40). NCBI lineage: Eukaryota > Metazoa > Chordata > Mammalia > Primates > Hominidae > Homo > Homo sapiens. The sequence continues at coordinate 167,051 of NW_025791806.1, forward strand.
ACTCCATGCCCAAATCTGCTTTCTATGGCATCTGAAGGGAACTAAGAAACTACACACGACCTCCTGGGGAAAGATGGGTATAGGGGCTTCATTTGTTCACTCTGAAAAAAGTTCTACATCAGAATGGAAAGACAACAATTAAGGTAAATATTTAAAGAAAAACTACATCTGGAAGTTATTTATAAGAAATAAGAGCTGGGTGTGGTAGCTCACACTTGTAATATAACAACTTTGGGAGGCTGAGGCAGGAGAATCGCGTGAGCCCTGGAGCTTGAGAGCAGCCCTGGCAACATAGCGAGACTAAATAAATAAATAAATATTAGCTGGGTGTCGCACCACATGCCTGTAGTCCCAGCTACTCACTCAGGAGGCTGAGGTGGGAGGATGGCTTGAGCCTGGGAGGTCAAGGCTGCAGTGAACCCTGATCCCAGCACTGTACTCCAGATTGGGTGACAGAGCACACCCTGTCTCAGAAGGAAGGAAAGGAAGGAGAATATATCTGAAAATTGTTTACAGAATATAAATTTGAAGCCAGGCATGGTGGCTCACACCTATAATCCCAGCACTTTGGGAGGCCAAAGTGGGAGGATCACTTGAGCCCAGGAGTTTGAGACCAGCCTGGGCATGAAAGTGAGTCCTCATCTCTACAAAAAAAAAAAAAATAAAAATAATAATAATAATAATAATAATCTATTTTAAAAGAAAATAAATTTGAGATTGGAAGGAAAAATTTTCTTACAAAGCTTGATCTGAGTATAGATAATATGAGAAGCACATAGATTTGTTACATTTTAACAGAAATGAAAACACTACGTATCAAAATTTGTTGACATGACAGCCAAAGCTGTACTCAAATATAAATCCTTGGGAAAAAGGTTTGATGCTTCCTCAAAAAGTTAAACATAGAATTAACATAGGATTCAGCCATTTTACCCCTAGATATATACCCAAGAGAACTGAAAACATATCTCCATACAAAACTGTGCTATGAAAGTTCATAACATTATTACTAACAATTTTTAAAAGGTAGAAACAACCCTAAGGTTCATTGACAAATGACTGGAGAAACCAAATGTGGTATATCCACTGTGAAATACTATGCAGCCATGAAAAAGAATGAAGCTTTGATTTGTGCTACAACACAAAGTAACCTTGAAACATCATGCTAAGTGAAAGAAGCACTCCAGCCTGGGTGACAGAGCGAGACACCAGCTCAAAAAAAAAAAAAAAAAAAAGTTCTTCAAGAATGGACTCACTCATTAGTTCCTTCCTTCATTGATATCTGTTCATTCATCTGTTTATATGGAACAGTCAGGGTTGAGAACCACTGTTCCAACAAGAAGCTATACTTGTTTTGTTTTGTGTGTGTTTGTTTCTGCAGCATCTAACACAGAACCTGTCAGATAACAAAAACTTGATTGCTATTTAATGAATATGGGCATGGATGGATGAATTGGCGCTGTCATTTTCCCTGACATGTCTCCTTCCTGAGAACAGAGCGTCTCTGTCTCCAAGCCAGCCGCTGTCATTCCAGTGCCTTAAAGCTCCAGCCACACTCACCTGGGAGGATGAGAAGCAGCAGAGATGGGGACAGCCACATGGTCCTGTCTCCTCTCCTCTCCTTGGTGATCACAGGTGTCTGGTGCCCTTCAGGGACTTGAATCCAAGCTCGGAAGTCAACACCGCAAACCTACTCGAATCTCCTTCAAGTCTCTTGCTCACTTCCTGTTACATCTGTAGCTACTTCTCTTTTTACATATTAGGAGAAAAGAGGTGTCATTCTTTGAAAAGACTAAGGTACAGTGTATGTTGCAAGGTGTGCCCAAACTTTTGTGCATGTGGAAAAGAAAATGTGTCCGGGACTGGTCAGGTTTGCACGGGAGTGCACGTAGGAGCCAAGGAGCAGGAGGAGCCAGGAGGAACCCAAGCATTGAGGAGCTGCGGGATCTACTGCCTGGAGGAGAGGACGGACAAGGCCAGCCATGAGGAGTGCAGGGAGAGGAGCACTTTGGGAAGACCACAGTGCACAGGACTCACACCCAGCCTTGCTGGAGAAAGCCCATGCCCCAGGCTTCTTCCAGGCAGCCCCACTGTAAGACATCTCATTGCCTCTTCCTGCCCTGGGCTGTCTGACCCACTGCCCCTTCCCCCAGGAACACTTCCACTGGGATCATGAGTCACTCTGAAGCCACTCTGAAATCACTCTGAAGCCAAAGCTGGGCTCAGTGGGGAAGGTCAGGAATGGAGAAATTGCCTTTTCTCGTTAGCCTCCTCTTGCCCTGATTTCATCCTCCCTATCCCTGCACACTTTCCCCTGGCTGCTGTTGTAATCTACTTGTTCTGCTGACGCCCGAACTGACTTCTTTCCCGGTCTCTCCCCACTTTCTTTAGATGGTCCCTTCCCTCTTTCTCTCCCTTTCCCTCCTGAATCGATTCATTTTTTCTCTCCTGTTTTATATTTTCCATATCTGTGGGCTTTGTTCTACATTTGGGGAGCTTTTTATATTGTTTATTTCATGCTTGTACTTTCCCTTCCAATCCTTGGATCAAATATTGATTTTAGAGACTGTATTTTTATTTCGAAAAGTTTTTTTGGTTCTTTGATTACTGATGTTTTCAAACTCTCTTCTGTTCCTTGAACTATATCCCTCCACTCAGTGGTCACATCTTTGTTTTGTTGTCTGCTTCTTCTATATTATGAGCCTTCCTCAAGTGTCTGCTGATTCTTGGTTATCCAATCATAGTTGAGAACAAGATAAAGTGTAGCTAACTGAGACCTCAGAGTATGTAGGAGTAAATAGTATATAAAATAGCTCTGGTGGCTCATGCCTGTAATCCAGCACTTTGGGAGGCCAAGGCGGACAGACCACCTGAGGTCAGGAGTTCGAAACCAGCCTGGCCAACATGGAGAAACCCCATCTCTACTAAAAATACAAAAATTAGCCAGGTGGTGGCACACGCCTGTAATCCCAGCTACTCAGGAGGCTGAGGCAGGAGAATCGCCTGAACCTGGGAGGTGGAGATTGCAGTGAGCCCAGATTGCACCACTGCTCTCTAGCCTGGGCAAAAAAACTAGTTCCAAAAAAGACACTTGTACACGCATGTTTATAGCAGCACAATTTGCGATTGAAAACATAGGGAACCAGCCTAAATGCCCATCAAGCAATGAGTGGATAAAGACAATGCGGTGTACATATACACCATGGAATACTATTCAGCCACAAAAAGGAACAAAATAATGGCATTCACAGCAACCTGGATGGAGTTGGAGATCATTATTCTAAGTGAAATAACTCAGGAATGGAGAACCAAATATTGTACATCCTCACTTATAAGTGGGAGCTGCGCTATGAAGATACAAAGGCACAAGAATGATACAATGGATTTTGGGGACTTAGGGGAAAGGATGCAGGGGATGAGGGATAAAAAACCATACATTGGGTACAGTGTACACTGCTCCAGTGAAGGGTGCACCAAAATCTCAGAAGTCACTGCTAAAGACCTTATCCTTGTAACCAAAAGCCATCTGCTCCCCAAAAACTATTGAAATAAAATAAAATATAAAAAGAAAGAGAAAGAAAAGAAAATAGTTCCAATTTATCATGCCAAATTGTTTGAACCCTTGATTCTTTCTTGACTTACAAGCTACACTTTAAGGGGCGTGGGCAGAGAGCGGTCTTCTAAACTCTAGACTGAAGAGGATTGAAGTTGAGCTCCAGCATTCTCACTGCCATGGCTTCCCAGATATTACATTAAAATAAAGAATTCCTGCTCTTTTGCCTGGGGGTCAGTGCCTGCCTCCAGGCATTTGGGGTATATGTAAAGATGTACATGTTTGGCCGGGCACAGTGGCTCACATCTATAATCCCAGCACTTTGGGGGGTCGAGGCGCGTGGATCACCTGAGGTCAGGAGTTCAAGACCAGCCTGGCCAACATAGTGAAACCCCGTCTCTACCAAAAAATACAAAAATTAGCCCAGCATGGCAGCGCACGCCTGTAATTCCAGCTACTTGGGAGGCTGAGGCAGGAGAATCACTTGAACCTGGGAGGCGGATGTTGCAGTGAGCCGAGATCACACCATTGCACTTCAGCCGGGGTGACAGAGTGAGACTCCATCTCAAAAACAAAACAAAACAAAACAAAAACATGTTTGTGGAACTGCTCCATGAACAAAGCTCCAATTGGGTCCCCAGTCTCCATTCCCACTTCTGACCCACACTCTTCATCACACCTGCTGGCTCTGAGTTCAAAGCCTCCCCTGAGTTTTATCAGGTGGGTCAATTAGAAGTAGGAGTTGCAAAATGCAATTTATTTTATCTGCCCTTTACTCTGAGGGTACACCCAATATGCCCCAGACCACCATACCCCTAATCTTTTGACACGGCAGGCCCCTAAACCAGTGTAGGGTTTATCTCCCAGCCTCTGGAGCACATCCAGTTGCTAGCCTCTTCTTGTTATCAGGTGCAATTAGCATGATGTCATAAACACAGGGGACTACCTTTATGTTCTGGGCAATGGCTGGACGATTCAGGTTTCTTAGAACAATACTACAAGGAGAAGAAAATTAACACAGTCCTGGAACAAGACTGTGAAAGTATACTGTTGTCCATGCCAAGCGAATGCGCCTGCCTCTGTTCCTCCTTCCTGATGGTGGCGGAAAGGATGCTTTTGCCAGATCAACAGTCACACACAACACACCAGGTTATGCTCATCTATTCTAGTAAACCTGTCACTGTTGGCACAGAAGCTGGAAATTTGGCTATTCCTTTAATATGGTGGTGGGTTTGTTGTTGTTTTGTTTTGTTTTGTTTTGTTTTGTTTTGTTTTGTTTTGTTTTGTTTTGGAGACAGGGTCTCACTCTGTTGCCCAAGCTGGAGTGCAGTGGCACAATCATAGCTAGCTCACTGCAGCCTCCAACTCCTGAGCTTCAGTGATCCTCTTGCCTCAGCCGAGTAGCTGACACTACAGTTGTGCAACATTGCACTGGCTAATTTTTTAAAACACTTTTCGGTAAAGAAAGGATCTTGCTCTGTTGCCTAGGCTAGCCTCAATCTCCTGGGCTCAAGTGATCCTCCTGCCTCAGCCTTGCAAAGTGCTGGGATTACAGGTGTGAGCCACCATGCCCAGGCTCTTGGTTTAGTTTTCCCTAGCCCATTGACCTTGGTAAATTAAAGGCAGATCTAGTGGGACCATGCCTTGTTTTCTTTGTCTTGGGGGGTGGCACTGATCTCTGTGTTCCTGGCAGAATGTGATATTGTTTGGGATTTACTATCTTGGCCACAGCAGAGGGACAGCCTCAGCGGCTTCCCCTTGGCCTTCCCCAGTCTGATCACTTTTACCACACAGACCAGAGAGTCAGTATTCATATGCACTGGTTGCTAAGTGTATCCACTTCTATCATTTCTAAAAATCAGGGCAAGAACCACTGGGATGCCTCTCTCATCTCTAGGATCTTGATTTTGCCTCTGGTTCTACTCAGGACTCGCTGCCTGGTCCAAGTGCTCAGCTTGTCTCAGACTGCCCAGTGACTCCACCTGCCCTCTTCCCTTCTGGAATTC